>NC_000022.11:31436836-31588351 GCF_000001405.40 Homo sapiens
AGCTGTTTTCCAGAAGCCACCCAGTTTGTTGTCTCGTGGCCTAAAATTGGGTCACATGTCTATTTTTGAATCAATTGTTGGTAAAGGGAATAGAATTATTGAAGAACCAGAATTTAACCCTGTAAGTTATCGTCATTCTTGGTTTGTGTTTATGCTCATAGTTCACAAAGGCCAATGGACCTCCCACTTCCCTTCCCTGTTAATAGAGTCTGGCTTAAAAGACACTCAGTAGCTATCTCCTAGGGGAAGGCCTAGCTGCACTCTCTGTTCACTTCATTCCCACTTCCTTTTACCACTGACCTCCCACAGACTTATTTAACTGCTTCCTTTGGGAGGGACTATTCTTTCCTCTCCTACCTGACCTCCCCTGCTTAACAGATTTTCCATGATATGCTTTGTGGTCCTCAGCTGTTTTACTTTCAGGATGCCTTCTATATCCTCAGCTTCTCTTAACTTTTATTTTGCACATCCTTCCAGCACTGATTGCTTGTGAACTCATCTCGTGCCTGCAAGACATCAAAAGTTTCTCCAAAGACATCCCTTCCTCTCTGCCCTCATCCTATATCAAGGTCTTAGCTCCTTGAAGACTGCATTAATGTGTCTTTTGCCTTCATCCCCCCCCCACCCTCCCGCTTCCTCTAGTCCTTGTGTTTACCAAAATACTTTTGCTAAAACCTGTATGTCTAGCTTCTGCTGATACTCTTAGCAATACTCCCTTATTTCCTTCTGGCGCCATTTGCCAATCACCAGCTAATGGCTTTGCTCTTTGCATGGTACCTGTTTCTGTCCTACTAGCTTCTAGTCTGAAAAGGAAGCCTTTACTAGCAGCTTCAACCCAGTCCTCCTTACCTTGCACCTATTAACGTTGGTTCAACATGAAGGGGAAGTAAGATAAGTGGAAGAGGATACACAGGAAAGGTGGAACTGGATTCAGGTGTCTGTGTTCTGCCATTGACACTTGGGACTGCGTTCCAGCTTCCACCTGTGGAAACCAGAAAGCATTTGCCAAAAATTCTAAACAGAGGGTCTATTTCTGAAGCTGAGGAATCACATGGAGTGAATAGCATGGGGGAAGGGGATTACTAATGAGGCTGAAAGAAAAGTACCAGGAAGAGACTGACTTCATGCATAATCCATAAAGCCAGGTTTTCTTGAAAGGTGACCTGCTTTCTTGTATTCCTGCAAGTACACGGCAGGGTGGGCAGTTCCAGGCTTATAGTCATTATTCCCTAACAAACGGTCAAGACTTAGGCTGCCCAAGACTCTACTACCCTTGTAGTCAAAAATCCAACCACCTTGACCTTTACCTCATTATCTGACCCTTTAGCATGGAGTCCTAAAATGGTCCTGAATGGACAAATATCTAGAACTCTGGTAAATTAACTTGAGTAGCATGGGAAATAAGTATCACCTCATAGCAGGACTGAAAAACCTCCAGTTAGGAAAGGGGACTCAGAACTGTACTGTATTCTGTAGAATCTTTATCCGTAAGTGCTATGTATATACTAATAGTTAAGGTGAATAATAAAACAATTGTGAGCTAAGGAATGTGATACAGAACACAAGGAGTCAATTAATGCATGAGTCTTAAGGGAAATTCTTAGACTTCAGTGGGTCTAAGCTCAGAACTCTGAGCTTAGAGAAACAGGATGCCCCAGTAAACATGATTTGTTTGAGAGAAACTACCATATGTAATAGATGATTCCTCAATAAACTGTTTTCACTAGGTCAGTTTAATCTTGGAAATTACACTATAGATATCCTGGTATTAGCCACAAGGCTATGCTATCTATAGGGTCAGTCCAGTATAAACTGACCTGTTGGGGTCTTTAAAGCTCAAGGAAAAAGGCCATAGTTGATTTCTCCTAAATCAAGATAGAGTCCAATTAACTTTTTTTTTTTTTTAAGATGGAGTCTCACTCTGTCGCCAGGCTGGACTGCAGTGGCGTGATCTCAGCTCACTGCAACCTCTGCCTCCCAGGTTCAGGCGATTCTTCTGTCTCAGCCTCCCGAGTAGCTGGGACTACAAGTGTGGGCCACCATGCCCAGCTAGTTTTGTATTTTTAGTAGAGATGGGATTTCACCATCTTGGCTAGGATGGTCTTGATCTCTTGACCTTGTGATTCGCCTGCCTCTGCCTCCCAGAGTGCTGAGATTACAGGCGTGAGCCACAGTGCCCAATTTCCATGGGTTTTCAAGAAAAACTTAACTTACTTAAACTTCAGATCACTTCCTTAAAGGAACATACTGAGCATAGCTTGGCTGGTTAGAAATTAGGAAGACTAGCTTGGGCTACATGGTAAGACCCTGCCTCTACAAAAAATAAGAAAAAAGTTAGTGGCATGTGCCTGTAGTTCCATCTACTTGGGAGGCTGAGGTGAGAGGATCGCTTGAGCCCAGGAGGTTGAAGCTGCAGTGAGCCACGATTGCACCACTGTACTCCAGCCTGGGTGACACAGAGTGAGACCCTGTCTCCAAACAAAATTAGGAAGGGTTTCAGAGAGGAAATAAACACAACAATGTCAGTTACTTCATTCACACACTTAGCATATGCAATTTTAATCAACCAAAAGAAAATCCCAAATGTACAAGTGAAAAAAATCCAAACTGTTGACACAGGCCTAACTAATATCAGCTACTTTTATGTACAGCTGTATAGTTCAAAAAAGCTATCCTATATGTATATACAAAAGTTGTTTATACACAGGTCTGTACATAAGGGTCTATACATTTATTTCCTCAGAACCCTTAGGTGCCACCTCTTGGTGAGGACACCAACACTTCATTCACATATCTTACAAAAAAGAAAGACCATTTCCAGGATTGACAACATTGTGCATCCTGTATTCAGACAATGTACACTCCACTCGACTGGTTAAGATCCTTCCATCATAATGCGGACCACACCAGATGCATGGGTTCCACCAAACAGCTTCACACAGAGTGCTCCAAAGTAAAAGCCCATAAACCAACCCGAGATGAAGCAGGGTCCTGCCCAGTGTGCCACCACAGGTCCGGGCTTAGTTGAGTCTGCCTGCCCTGCTCACTGTCGGTATTCCAATTCATCTACACTGATAACTTTGGCGGGCATGGAGGGCAGGGGTTGCTGTAGCACATCTGAGCCAAACCATTTGGCAAGGCCCACAGGGGAGCTGCTCCTCTGGCTGGGGCGATGCTCCAGCTGGGAGTGCATGTGGGGCAGGCCTGACCGGCTGGGCACGTTCTGAGGGGTTGTCTGAACGCTGACAGCTGCTGCATGGGAACCAGAGCCTGGAGGATGCAGAACTGTGGAGATAAGAAGGGTTATCATTCACAGCATGAGAAGGAAAGTTTATTAGACCCTGCTTCATTCAAACCCTATCCAAAGAAAAGTCTTTACTAGAGGATTTTTTCTAGGGCTTCTTTAGAAACTCCTTTGCAAAATACCAACAATGCCAGAAAACAGTACCATGGAAAGCTGAGCTATTCAGAAGCTACCAGTATTGAAAACCCACCCTGGATGACATGACCGCTACTTCTCATGGCTAAGTAACCACATCACAGAAGCAGCAACATGAACTGGTGAGGGGGTATATACCCTGGGCAGGCCGGATGCTGAACCTCTGTTGGATTCTCAGCCCTCTCTCCTAACAGGCAAAGGAAAAAGCCAGAAAACACTTGGCTTTTCCCACTGACTTTGCAGGAACAGTAATCCCAAATTGCATAGAGGTCAATTTACTTCATCTTATTATCTGGTTACACTTTGTCCCAAACTTAGAACAAGTTAAAGAATGAAAGTGTTAATTCATCTCCACTGGAAACTAGTCCTCAAAGCTTCAAGACTCCCTAAGTCCGTCCCAAACTCACCTGTCACATTCCTGAACCTACCTGAGCGCTGTAGCTGCTGTTGCACCATTGCCAGATGCAGAGGTGTTCCAGGACGAGGGTTTAAGAGAGGGTGACTAGCAGCAGGTAAAGGGTAAAAGGGCTGACCCAGGATGGGGCCAGATATTCCCTGTAAATGACTCAAGTCCATCCCAGGAGGAAGCACACCTGTTGAGCAGAAAAAGCAAGCAGCTGAGTAGTCTTAATGTTACCTGGAAGTTTTCCAGCTTCACTGTACAGTTTTGCTGATCTGGAAGTTTGTTAAGAATGAAGGGCTCTGCGCAGTGGCTCACGCCTGTAATCCCCAGCACTTTGGGAGGCCAAAGCAGGCGGACCACGAGGTCAGGAGTTCGAGACCAGTATGGCCAACATGGTGAAACCCTGTCTCTACTAAAAATACAAAAATTAGCCAGGTGTAGTGGCAGGCGCCTGTAATCCCAGCTACTCGGAAGGCTGAGGCAGGGACCTAGAACTCGGGAGAGGCAGAGGTTGCAGTGAGCAGAGATCGCGCCACTGCACTCTAGCCTGGGCGACAGAGCGAGACTCAAAAAAGAATGAAGAATTCTCTGGCTCACGCCTGTAATCCTGACACTTTGGGAGGCCGATGTGGGTGGACTGCCTAAACTTAGGAGTTTGAGACCAGCCTGGGCAACACGGTGAAATCCTGTCTCTACTAAAATACAAAATAAATTATCCGGGTGTGGCGGCGTGCACCTGTAGTCCCAGCTACTCGGGAGGCTGAGGCAGGAGAATTGCTTGAACTCAGGAGGCAGAGGTTGCAGTGAGCTGAGATTGCGCCACTGCACTCCAGCCAGGCAGACAGAGTGAGACTTCTGTCTCTACAAAAAGGAAAAAAAAAAAAAAAAAAAAAAAGAATCTTCAAGCTAGGTTCCTAATCTTTTAAAGGACTAGGGGATTGACTGGATTGGGCCCACTGCCTGCCAGTTAGATGGGAGAATCTAGTAACATCTTTCTAGGGATGGAAATCTCCCACATTATAGCACTTCATCAGTGCCAACAATTGTCCCCTAGGCCCACAAACTGACGACACCCAAGTCAGGCTGGAAACTCACCAGTTTGGAGCAAACTTGGAAGATGCTGTGGATGTACTCCCTGGGCCAGCATCCTCTGTACCAACCCTGGGTGAAGCTGGTGAGCAGGCCTAACCATAGGGACATGGGGGACAAGGGGAACTTGGTGGACAGGGCGGAGAAAAGGTGTTGTAGGAACTGGGGATGCCAAGGTGGGTGTTTTTCTCCCAGTTGCTTTAGGTCGATAATCTTGTTCTTTGGTGTAACGGTTGGCCTGGGACAGTGGGGTGGAACACGAAGACCTCTGTAATGCTGACAGTTTGGAATTTGTAGTGGGAGAAGAGTCTCGATCGGCACTGGGTACAGAGCTGGATGACAGGAGGTTTTCTGTGAGGAACCAAACAAAAAATATTTTGGCAAACCTCTCCCAAACACTTGTGGCCTCCCACTGGTCTAATAAATCTCATTTCTTAAGGTCACAATTCTTATCTGATACCCTTAACAAGTTTAGAGGACTACACGGTAGGAACCATCGTTTGCTTCATAAACAGGACCAGAAGATGAATTGTTGGGCACCCTTCTCTGCACAAATGGCTGTGGCCTAGATTATGCAAATCTATCACAACAGAAAATCTAAATGGCAATTAGAGTCTGGTCAAAGAACCCAAACTGTCTTAATAGTACCAACAGGATTTCCTCCCCACCACCCACCCCAAGCCTTCTCAAACACAGGCAAAAATCTCTCAGATCTGTACTTTTAACACCTCTGTAAACCCTAATTTGGAATCCGCATGTTACCACGTCCTTCACAATCCCTACTGTGCAACTCCTAAAAGCCTCTCACATATTTTCTATGTTGGACACTTAAGTCTCCACAGGCTGGACATAATCTTTCAGAAGTAAAACTCGCTGAATTATATTAATTTGCCAAATAAGTATACTAATTATTAACTTTGAAGCCTAACTAAGGATTCTAAACTAACACTCATTCTACCCGTCTGGTAGTAGCACTCTTAGATTGGTCAAATTTCAAGCAACCAAGCAATTGTGAGCTGGCCCAATTCTTCTCACTGTCACACAGAACCTTCTCACTGACACAGAACCATAGTCCAGAGAAGCTAGTGGTCTTGCCCAGGGCTTTGTATAGAATATCAGGCTGGTCAGCGCTCAGGCCCATGTTTTCTCCATCACATACTTTCTTGAGCAGTGCCCTTAACAGCTCTGCAGTACCTTCACTGGCCTTCTGAGTATCCTCTTTACTGTCACCAAGAGCTGCTTTTCCAGATGCTGGCTCCTCCTTGCTTTTCTCTTTGCTCTCGTACATCTTACGAATCACTGAGGTAGGGGTAAAGGAAGGAGAAAGCTGCAGAGAAAAACAATTGGCATTAGCACATTCTCTAAGTGCCGTTCTCTAATACTAAGCCAGGATTAACTTGTCAAGATACTCAACAAAGAGTCCCCACATTGGTAGCATAGGCCAACTGTAGTATTCTGTTCTGTAGCTGCTGGAGGAAAAACAGAATGGGGCAAATAGGCAGTGTCCCAAGTACATTATCCCTTGCTTACAACTGTGTGATAATGGGGACATGCCTATGCAGCCTCTGCGTCACAGATTTCCCAGCCTGGGATTAGGCTGGCAAGAGAAAGAACATGGCCAGAAATATAACTTGGAGCAACAGACCTTCCTTGACATTTCAAAGATAACATCAAAACCAGAATTACTCCATACTCCTAATATTTCCCTTAACTTGGCTACCAGAAAAGTCAAATTTATCTCAATAGTCTCCTCAGCCATCAGGATTAATCATTTGGAGTCATTTCTTACCTCTTCACTATTTCTACCTTGGTGATTTTATTATGCATTTGCCTTTTCTCACCAAACAACCCCACATCTTTGATGGCAGGAGACAGGGCTTGACTTATAAACAAAAAAGTTCTTTCCAAACCCTGCTGCCTTCAAGGTCACCGGTGCAAAGACCCACGTGGGGTTCTGAAGCACGCAGCAAAGTTATTTTTTTTTTTCCTTCTTCTCTATCGGCTTTGATTAGATGATAAAGATTTGTGGGGAATGAACCTTTTTTTTTTTTTTTTTTGAGACGGGGACTCACTAGGGAGGGCAGTGGCACGATCTTGGCTCACTGCAACCTCTGCCTCCTGGACTCAAGTGATCCTCCCACCTCGGCCTCCCGAGTATAGCTGGGACCACAGATGTGCACCACCATGCCCGACTAATTTTTTGTATTAGGGGTAGAGACAGGGTCTCACTAGGTTGCCCAGTCTGGTCTTGAACTCCTGAACTCAAACAATCTACCTACCTCGGCCTCTGAAAGTCCTGGGATTACAGGCGTGAGCCACCACGCCCAGCTGGAATGAAACATTTTTTAAAGTAATGATAGTTATAAAACTAGACTTCTCACTGCATATAAGCAAACCCTTCTGTTCCAGCCTTAGTTTATATCACTGAGACCTGAAGTGGTGAATCCGAATTTGTGAACTCCCCTGCAAGTTTCAATAGACTCCCCACTGTCTGACCCAGTCACCTCTGTCCACTTCACCTCCTGTCTCTCACTATCGTCCTCCTGTCTCCCCACACCTGGTTCATTTCTTTGAACATACTATATCACCTCGTGTGCCCTGGCCCATGATCATCTCTGCTGGAACATATTTTCCCCAATATAGGGGCTTCATTAAAATCCTAAGACTTAGACTGTGTCCTAAAAGGGAAAGACCTAATAGACAGTTATGAAAAACTACTAGGTCAGTTATTTCCGTGGAAGGAACTCAAGGACATTTAGGGCACACAGTGGTACAATCCATGCACAACCAAACAGGGAGAAGCCTTAAAGTCCTTCACAGTTACTAAAGGTCACTGACCATGCTTGTGATGGAGGCAGCAGGGGCAGGGGAAGAGGAATTCCCTCGATGCACGGGTGCTGGTGACTTGGTCACTCGCTGTTGCCTGTGAACAAACCAATTATCAGCATGAACCCCAATCTGCTTAACTTCAAGTCTTAAAACCATATAATACTCAAGACCAGCCTAGAAGTTTTAACATCCCCTTTCCCTTATCCAATTCAATTTCCCAAGCATTTAGGCCTAACATACACAAAAGCACATGCTAAGCTCTGAGGGAAGACAAAAGGAAAATGAAACACAGTCCCAGTCTTGTAAGAGCTCTCAGTCTAGCGGGGGAGACAATCACCTAGAGCAAACCAAGGCATGTAGATATTAGGCACCAACAAAGTACAATGGGAAAATGGAGGGGTTAGAAGAAATAACAAGGCACTGCAGGGATGCTTCCTGGGGAAGAAGCTGCATTCCATTGGGTGCGATCAAGAAGAAGCTAGAGAACAACAGTTCAGGTAGACAGAATAGGTACAGGAACTTGGGAGTTGTAGGGTTATCCAGAGCTGGTGTATAGTTTACTGCAGACTACACCAGTGAGGTGCGCTAGGGAGGGCCTTCATTCTTGGGCTGCCTGTGCTTCACTGGGCAGGGAGCGGCAATAATTAGCACAGTGCCTGGCACAGAACTGATGCTGTGTGTGACACTCGTTCAAATCAAATACAGAATCAAGAGTTTCAGCTATTTTAGGACCACTCTTGGTCTACACAAGATTGACCTCAGGCCTCAAAGGTCAAGGCCCAAGTATAGTCACTGACCTGAAGTTCTCTGAATCACAGATAGATGGAAAACCTAAATTCATGGCTTCTTTCTAGTTAGTACCCCATTGCTGCCATGCTGTGACTGTGTGTATGACAACATGGGCAGACAGATCAGTACTATTCTGAGTGACTAAAAAATGAACCCCAAACTTGAGGGTCCCACATGACCTATCATTCCTTCTGGTAAACATATTTGAGCACCTGCTACAGACACTGTTCCAGGTTCTTGGAATACAGCAGTGAATAAAAGAAAAATAATCTCTGGCCTCATGGAGGTTACATTCTTGGGGCTGCAGGATGGAGTGGGGTTACTACAGGCAGGGAGACAAACAATAAATAATATGCTAGACAGTGATGAATACAATTTAAAAAAGCAAGGTAAGGGGAAAGGCATGTTTGTTGGAGGGACACAACTGTACACAGGGAGGACCTAAGAGGCTGATGCTGATCCAAAACATGAAGGCTAGACTGAAATGACTCAAATATGCTTGCTAGTTTTGAGTAAGCCATGTTTTAAAAACCTGTTTTCTGTATCTGTAAAATGCAGTTACGTACCGCCCCCCCCCCCCATCTACCTCACAGGGTTGATATGAAGATCATATAAAATTCTGGGCCAGGTGCGGTGGCTCATGCCTGTAATCCCAGCACTTTGGGGACCGAAGCAGGTGAATCACTTGAGGCCAGGAATTCAAGTCTGGCCAACATAGCGAAACCCCATCTCTACTAAAAATACAAAAAACTAGCCGGGTGTGGTGGCACACTCCTGTAATCCTAGCTACTCGGGAGGCTGAGGCATGAGAACTGCTTGAACCCAGGAGGAGGAGGTTGCAGTGAGCCAAGATTGTGCCACTGCACTCCATCCTGGGCAACAGATCAAGAGATTGTCTCCAAAAAAAAAAAAAAGTTAAAAGTACTGTGAAAGTCACAAATCACATCAATGAATACTAGGTAACTGCATTATGCTATAGACAGAAAGCACGTGAGAGGGGTTCAGCAGACCAGTCTGGAGCTCTCTGTTTCGGTGGAAGGGTGCTATAAATAGGATGTGCTTGTGTAAGGCTATCTCCTGGTCTCAGTATCTTCTGAAAGGGTTAACAGGTAAAACCAGCTGAAGCAAAACACTGAGGCACTGTGGTAGTAACTTTAAGAATCACATCAAAACATTAAGTACCGAGTATTTTAAAGGTAGACTAAACTATAGTGTTCAGGGATGTGCATTTTGGTGATAAATTATTTTTAATTAAGGTAGTGATTACTTTTAAAGGCTGGACAGTGGAGAGTTCTGAGGAGGAAAAGGGGTATTACTGGCACAGGGCACATGGAGGCCCTCTGAGTAGTTAACAAGGAAGTTTGCCTTATAATAAGCTACACATTTGTTTTATATAGTTTTGTCTGTTTTATTTTACAATAAAATAATATTGCCACTCCTTTCCCTTTTCTCCCTAACTTATGATTAATTTCATTTTACCATTTGTTGCAACTATCGAAAAAGAGAAGAGTGAACTCAGTACTCTACTTGTTAACAGCTCTGATCAACAAACCTGTCAGCTCTGGCCAAAAAACTGCTGATGTAGCAAACCTGCATCAAGGGAGTTTGATAAGAACATTGAATCTGTGGGGAAAGGAATAAGGAGCTATGCTAGTTTCATTTGTAAAAATGAATGGTTTAACTGGTAGAAACATCCTAAGATTTTAAAATATATTTACTCATAACAATCTTGTGAGGTAAATTAGGCGAGCAGCATCCCTTCCATATGGCTAATTAGCAAACTCAAGGAAAAAAAGTAATTTATAAATCAAGAACGGAAATAAAACCATATAGAATGAAAGCCCTATGCCTTGCAGTAGAATTTAATCATATTTCCGCTATTAAATCTATTTCTTCTATTGATTTGGATTGGGATGGAATTTCTACCACATACTGAACATACCACAGTATGTACAACAGAATTATACTGCAGATAAGTAATTTATTAGTTTCAGGAAAACTTATCCGTAAATCTCCACATGAGCAGGATTAGTAATTTACCTGTTTCTGAATCCATCTCTGGTTCTGTCCACCTGTGGTTTGCCAAAACCAGGCTGGTAGAAGTTTGCTGCCTGTACAGCAAGGTCATGTGGCAAGGCCAGCCCTTCTAAAGCTGCCTGTTGCAACTCCAGCTGGCTCATCTGCTGAAAAGGAGAGGGGAGGGTCAGGAGAAGAGTAAGGACACCACACTTTCTACAAAGGTTTCTCTTCACTCTTAGAAAGGTATGTTAAGCAGAAGCTGAAAAAAATTAGATACTGCGAAACTGACTAGATTGTGCTGCCATCGCAGTGAACAAGATTAACAATTTAAGTATTACTTGAATTATTCAGCAAATTGTCTAACCTTCACTGAGCTTGAAATATAGATCAAAACCATTTCTTTTAGAGACAGGGTCTCACTCTGCCACCTAGGCTGGAGTACAGTGGCACCATCATAGCTCACGGCAGTCTCAAACTCTTGGGCTCAAGCGATTCTCCTGCCTCAGCCTCCTGTGTAGCTGGGACTACAGATGCATGCCGCTATACCTGGCTCATTTTTTAAATTTACTTTTGGGCTCAAGTGATCCTCCTGCCTCCACCTCCCAAAGTGCTGGGATTACGGGCATGAGCCACTATGCCTGGCCTCAAAACCATTTTTAAGAATCACAACAGTTCAGCTCTCCACTCCCCATGCACCAAGAGGGTGAAGGGCAAGCAAGAGATTGAGTTTGAGAAAGCTCAGCCTGACCTGGGCTGTGATGGGGCTCATGGGTTTGCGCATGCCTTGGAATGGATCTCCGAGTAGCTGCTGTGGTCCTGGTGTGAAACCTGTCGGGAAAGTTAGTCTCAGTGAGTACCAAGATGGTATGTGTGCATCAGGGAGGCATTTTCATTAATGCATGACATTTCTTGCTGAACGCCATCTCTTGGAAAGCACTGATTTATTGGGCTGACAGATGTCCCTCTCCCTCTGTGCCCCAACAGTGGGCTATGTGGACCTCAACCAGAGCACTGTCCAAATTGCTTCTCAACTAAGCCATCAGCATTGCTCCTTTTAAAGCCAAGACCTCTCTCTGGGAGAGAAGAGCTTTCCTAGCCAGCAGTTTGTCCCGTTATCACTAAGCCAGCTGGTATTAAAATAGACACCATTGCTCTGAGAATACACATTCTCTCCATTGTTTGACTGTGGACAGAAGATTTCAAAAAATGCCTCTCAAGGTTTGTTTGGCAGGAGCCAGAGTGGCCAGCAGCCTAAAGTGGCCTAGGATAGCAGGAACACTACGACATTCCATGTAAATACTTTGCTAAGACACTTTCTGGAACTTTTCTTTCAGTCACATTCTGAATTAGCCATAAGACTTAACAGCAGATTGTCTATCAAAACTCAATAGCTTCATAGATAACCACTACACTGACTTCTACTATATCAAAGAAAAACTTAAGAAGCCAAATTAACTTTTTTTGGATTGAATTCCCAAAATAAGGAATAAGACTAAAGAGCTAGATCAAAGTTAGATTTCAATAAAAAAAAAATCTATAACATGAACATATTCACCTAGAAGAGCAGCTGGTATCTTCCACGTTTGGTACCCCATCCCCCAAAAGTATATTTATTTATTTTTTTGAGACAGAGTCTCGCTCTGTCGCCCAGGCTGGAGTACAGTGGCGTGATCTTGGCTCACTGCAACCTCCGCCTCTCAGATTCAAGCGATTCTCCTGTCTCAGCCTCCTGCGTAGCTGGGATTACAGGCATGCACCACCACGTCTGGCTATTTTTGTATTTTTAGTAGAGATGGGGTTTCACCACGTTGGCCAGGCTGGTCTCAAACTTCTGACCTCAGGTGATCTGCCCACCTCGGCCTCCCAGAGTGCTGGAATTACAGGCATGAGCTACCGTGCCTGGCCATAAATTCATATTTCTTTTGACAAATAAGTATATTTACCAATTGGTGATGGTATTCTTGGGCGAAGGTAGTCAGCTGAGGCTGCTCGAGTTTGAAACACCTGTGACAAGGGAGGAGAGGGTGCTCTTTGGCCCAGTAAAGATGTTGTAGGCTCCAAGCTCCCCATAAGGCCACTCAGAAGATTGGAAGAAGCAGGTCTCTGAACTGGTTGACCCAGAAGTTCCTAAAGGCAGAAAAGCCAAATCCCTGTGAACTTAGTTATTCCTTCTACTCAGAGGCTGTGAATTATGGATTAACTTTTGAGAGCCACAAGATGGATCTCCCTCATGCTCAACTGAAGGACTTGGCATGTGTACATGCAACACATTTATCTGAATGTTCAGCTAGCAACATATGCTCTAAGTTAGTGCTATAAATAGAGGTTCCTTTTTTTTTTTTTTGAGACAGAGTCTCACTCTATCACCCAGGCTGGAGTGCAGTGACATGATCTCGGCTCACCACAACCTCTGCCTACCGGGTTCAAGCGATTCTCACGCCTCAGCCTCCTAAGGAGTTGGGATTACAGGCATGTGCCACCACACCAGGCCAATTTTTGTATTTTTAGTAGAGTCAAGGTTTCACCATGTTGGCCAGGCTGGTCTCAAACTCCTGACCTCAGGTGATCCACCCACCTCAGCCTCCCAAAGTGCTGAGATTACAGGTGTGAGCCACCGTGCCTGGCTAGATACTTTTAAGTTTCACAGAAACTGCAAAGGAAACTAGAAGTCAAGGCTTACTTTGTCAACTTTTTTAGCCATCCCCTATCCCCTGCCCATTGAGATTAAAAGCAACACCAAACTATGTCAGGCAACAATATCACCTCTCTGATTGCCAGGCAACACAGATCATTTTCTAAGGCCCAAAGTTGGACCACTAAGCAAAACTGGTTCAGAAGACTACTGTTCAAGACTCCAAGGCCTCAGTATAAGATTGTGAAGTACCTGCAGGATGTTCTTAGGGACAGGCTGGCCTGGAATCTCAGCAGGGGACATCAAATGGCTTTCAAGGTTTCGCTAAAAGAGTCAAAAGAAAACTGGTTTTAACTTTCTTAACTCACTTAACTTACAGATTGATTGGGGACCACAAGAAAGCATAAAATACTCCTAGGGAGTTAATAGCAGAATGATACTCAAGTCACAGAAAACTTAGACCAACGTGTTCCGCTCTCATCACACAGGTCTCAAAGATCTGGGGATGGAAAGACCGTTCACATGTACATGCAAAGTCCCCTCAGAGATCCTCACTATGCTAATCCTAAGTCCATTTCCCTGTTTCTAACACTGTGACCAAAAGGGGGAAAAATGGTGAAACCGGGGAACACTTACTTGAGATAACTCTTGCTACCCATTACCTTTAACAAGATTTATTGGAGACACACACACACACACACACACTCATATATACACACATACATATATACATACATATATACACACACATATACACATATACATACACATACATATACACACATACATACACACATATATATATACTACACACACACACACACACACACACACACACACACACACACACACACACACAAAAGAGACAGGGTCTTGTTCTGTTGCCCAGTCTGGAGTGCAGTGGTGCAATCATGGCTTGCTGCAGCCTTGACCTCTCAGACACAAGCGATCCTCTCATCTCAGCCTCCTGAGTAGCTGGGACTACAGGTGTATGCCACCACACCCAACTAATTTTTATATTTTTTGTAGAGATGGGGTTTTGCCACGTTGCCCAGGCTGGTCTTGAACTCCTGGGCTCAAGCAATCCTCTGGCCTTGGCCTCCCAAAGTGCTGGCTAAATTATAGACGTGACCCACCACACCCTGCCTACACATATGGTTTTAAAATCCTAGTAAACAACATGCAGGTTTGGCCAAAATTGTTATATTTCAGAGTTTCATATTTCAGGAAATTTAAGCTTTATTATTTTATTTTTTGAGACAGAGTCTTGCTCTGTCACCAGGCTAGAGTGCAATGGCACGATCTTGGCTCACTGCAACCTCTGCCTCCAGGGTTCAAGCAATTCTCCTGCCTCAGCCTCCTGAGTAACTGGGACTACAGGCACATGCCACCACGCCCAGCTAATTTTTTTTTTTTTTCAGTAGAGACGGGGTTTCACCATGTTGGCCAGGATGGTCTCGATCTCCTGACCTCGTGATCTGCCCGCCTCGGCCTCCCAAAGTACTGGGATTACAGGCATGAGCCACCGCACCCGGCAACTTTATTATTTTTTAAACGAGCTGTTCCAAAATGGGTATCACATACAGGGCAAAATTCAAATCCTCCACTCTTAAAGCAGTAGTGGTTACTTTTTTTTTTTTTTTTGGGACAGGTCTATGTTCTCCAGGCTGGCCTTGAACTTCTGGGTTCAAGCAACCCTCCCACCTTGGCCTCCCACGTAGCTCGAACTATAGGTGTACACCACCAGGCCTGGCCAGTGGTTACATTTTGTGCATCCAACCTGGAGTCCCCTCCTGCATTTCAGGACATCCCTATGCCCATTTAGCTCTGTGTGAAGTGCTTTCTCTGGTGTAGTTTCCCTTCCACTAGATGGAGCTGTCAAAGTCCAAAGCAGTGTCTAGGCATGACAAATAGCTCAAGAATACCCAAGTATTTTATTGTTGATTTTGGAACTGGGACTAAAGGCAGATGATTTTATAAGTAATCTCTTTAAGAGTCATTTACTTCCATCTAATAAAAACAAATAGACAACTTTATACTGCATGGCTTATTATACTTGGAGGATAGAATCTATAATTTAAAACAGAATTTAGATTGAACCAGCATGTATTATTTTTGGATGAACCAATATGACAACCTAAATGGATGGAGGCAGATCAGAAATAGTATACAAAACATACACAGCAGTAGTAATTAAAGACACCGAATTCAAAAAGTAAACCATGACTTAACAACATGCAAATTGAGCAATATTTTGAGATAACACCTGCTATTCTTACTCCATTACTTTCCTTGTTGTATTCTTTCCTGCTAGCTGAGTTTGTCTTAGCCTTTGCCTAGCCACTTGAATGTGTCATCCATCCGTTTGGCAGGTGTTTGAGGCTCATTTGCTCAGCTAAAACCAGATACACTTCTGAGTGCTAAAACCCCAACATCAAACCAACTGCCCTTACAACTCGAGTAAATTGTGTTAATATCAAATCCTAGAATCATATCTGCAATAAAATGTGGAAAAACATCAGGTAAACTGCTGAATGCCCCCTTCCATATTTTTAGTTGCTCACACCAAAAGAAAGAAGCTAATTATAAGATATGAACCACACCATTGCAGTCAGCACCCAATCACCAAGACACAAATGTAACGAGAAAGGAAAATAGGATAGTCTACCATCTTTCAGTCTGATCTTCATTTGAAAGCATTTGTATCTAATAATTCTTTGTATAAAAGTAACTCTAAAGCAGTTTTACAGGGACATTCTCCTGCAACTGGTATGGTGTGGTCAGATACAAAGAAGTCAGTCTACCTATCTGAGGTGCCTCCTTTCAAGTGTAGGTCAGTCCTGGCACTAAGGAATAATGGAACCTCTGTCTGTCCTATTGGTCAGATAAGGAATGCTAAAAGTCAGTTGCTTTCTTTTGGTATAAGACATAATGATTCAAACAGCTATTGCTACTTGCATCTTGGCTAACTGGTAAGTTCCCAGGCAAGCAGGGAACAGGAAAAAAAGAGAGAAAACTCAATTTGGTAAATTTGCTATAACTTAGCAACTAGAATAAGTCCATGTTTATGTTTTTATTATTCATATCTACCCTGCTTCCACATTAGTTTGTATCAAGAGATAGTGATATTAACACATAGGCTATGGGTAAGAACTACCCTCTCAAAATTGTTAGGACAAAGAACCAGTATATTATAAACATTTGCATTTACAAGGTGATATGCAGTTGTGTCACCTTGTAACCTAACTTCATGCCTACAAGTTTTGTTTTTAACTTGGAGCCACAACTTTTTCCATTAGTAAATTGACAGAATGTAATTATCCTGACAAACCCATCTTACTTTTTTTTTTTTTTTTTGGAGACAGTCTCACTCTGTTGCCCAGCCTGGAGTGCAGTGGCGTGACCTCGGCTCACTGCAACTTTCATTTCCCAGGTTCAAGCAGTTCTCTTGTCTTGGCCTCCCAAGTAGCTGAGATTACAGGCGCATGCCCCCACGCCTGGCTAATTTTTATTTTTAGTAGAGATGGCGTTTCACCATGTTGGCCAGGCTGGTCTCAAACTCCTGACTTCAGGTGATCTGCCTGCCTCAGCCTCCCAAAGTGCTGGGATTACACGCGTGAGCCACTGTGCTCAGCCCCATCTTAGATACTTTACAAATGATTTGTATGACTGCAAGAATGCAGGTAATCCCTGGTATCTGGGAATAATTAGAAGATGTGAATAAAGATTTTACTATACAAATATGGTAAAGAATATGAACTTAAGTAGCTGAATAACAAGAAAATTGTCTCTGGAGTTCATCCAAAAAGATAGTTTTATACCTCATTTTAGCAGTGACTTAAAGTTATACAGGCATTACCATTAAGACTGAATCTTTTAATCTTTATACTGTCACCCACAATACATATAAATTAACCACAAGCCTGCTTTTTCCAGTAACAAATAGCATATCAATAATTAAGGAACACACAAAAGCATCAAGGACCAAATGACTACTAAAGAATTTCCAACTTACTCAGAATACCTTTTTAAAAATCCTTTTATTGTGGTGGGAAAAAGAAGAAAAAAAAAGGAGAAAAGGGTGGGGGGTTTGTGTCAGATACTTACGCTGACTTTGGGCTGAGAAGGCAAAGTCCCACTTGCCTTCATTGTGCTCACTAGCTTGTTGAACGCAGTCATGTCTCCGTCTTTCTTCAGTTGTCGATTGTTGGTTACGGCACTCAAGGTCTCTTCTAGGTGTTCTGCCATGAAGGGAGTTGAATTCTTCACTTGCTGGTCAACCTTCAAGCCCTTCAGACCTGCTTCTACCTCCTCCACTGAAAGCACAACCCCTGAATGTGCTGAGAAGTTGAGAACGTCCAGGTTAAATCAAGCAAAGAGATATCTGGTAGGAATTCTCTTTGGCTAGTATGACAGATAAGATGAAAATAATTTATTTCAAAATTGAGATGAGACTGTCAGAAAAGACTGACACCAAAAATAAACTAATAACACTTAAAATCAAATTGTGTACTAAGAGATGGCATAAACTAAACCTAAAATGTTTAGATGCTAGAAACTGGGGGACCACAACTATGAAGTGCTATTCTTTAAAACTTGACAAGCTCCTGCTGTGCATCCTGCAGAAGGATATGAGTCTTCTGGGAGACTTGTTACCTGGGACAAGAATCCCAGATAGCCCAACATTGCCAAGATTGCTGCCTGCACCGTGGTCATTATATCACTAAGTTTTTATGTTGAGAATTTATAGCCTAAGCAAGAACATGGAAGACTAGGGCAGATTTGTGAGGAAATGGTAAGTTATGCTCTGGAGGAATAAAACATTCACTGGAGTTTGTTTTCAACATTCACTGGATTATTACAACCAGACCCTAGGTAAGAACTTACAGGAAAAGTTCTCATAGGGCTCATGACCCACTGTGAGATTCTCAAAGAGGTGGTATTGTTTGATGAAATGAGTTTTTAAAAAAGAACATTAAACAAAAACCCAATATATATTTGACTTTTTATGAAACAGAGGTTATGTTAGACCCAACTGCCTGAAGACTGAACATCTAGACCTTTTCAGATATCTAAAACAGATATTCATAAACACTTACAGCTTTCTTTAAGTTTTTCTTTATTTGCAGAAAGGCTGGAAAGAAGAGGTTTCAAATCCACTTTGGCTTTCTGTAGCATTTCTAAAATATCCACTTTATTTTCAGCATGGTCTTCCAATGGTATAGGAGCAAAGTAATTCCCCGAGTTCTGTCCAGGAGAGAGGATGGCTTGCTCCAGACCTGATATTGCAAATAAACATACTCAAAATTAATCTGTTCCAGTAAAGAAACATGCCTTCGACAGTATTTTTCTTTCTTTCTTTTTTTTTTTTTTTTTCTTTGAGATGGAGTTTCGCTTTTTCGCCCAGGCTGGAGTGCAGTGGCGCAATCTCGGCTCACTGCAACCTCCGCCTGCCAGTTTCAAGCGATTCTCCTGCCTCAGCCTCCTGAGTAGCTGGGACTACAGATGCCCGCCACCACGCCTGGCTGATTTTTGTATTTTTAGTAGAGATGGGGGTTTCACCATGTTGGCCAGGCTGGTCTCAAACTCCTAACCTTGTGATCTGCCTGCCTTGGCCTCCCAAAGTGCTGGGATTACAGGCGTGAGCCACTGCACCCGGCCCCTTCAACAATATTAAAAGGACACAAATTGAAGGCTTTTCAGTTGTCCAGAGACCCTTTGACCCTAATTGACTCCTGACTAATGAAGATAAAATGAACCATATCAGGGAAAAACCCAGGTTTACCTTCAAGGGCAGAATCTGAAGCCATTTTACCTGCAAGTCTCTCTAGCTCTTCATGTGGTGTTGACCCAAGACTGCTGGATCGGCTTCCTGATCTGCTCGGGTTAGAGAACCACCTACTGAACCGACTGGCAGAGACTGACCCTTCTCCCAAAACATCTTCTATCATCTGAAGAAAAAGACAATAAAAACTAATAGTTTCTAGATGAAAAAGGACAAGAAGGTTTAAATCTTATGAAAGGGTCACTTACTTTGAAACTTCCTTTCATGCTCGTGACCTGAAGATAAATACTCTCAGAACCTAGGAATTTGAACACCTTTTTCTTCCTCCATCCTGGGTAATTTCTGAATAACCCAAACTTGAGTATAACCATCTACTTACTTTCCTTTTTTATTTTTTATTACTTTTTTTTTTTTTTTTTTGAGACAGAGTCTCGCTCTGTCACCCAGGCTGGAGTGCAGTGGCACGATCTCGGCTCACTGCAAGCTCCGCCTCCCGGGTTCACACCATTCTCCTGCCTCAGCCTCCTGAGTAGCTGGGACTACAGGCGCCTGCCACCACGCCCGGCTAATTTTTTGTATTTTTAGTAGAGACGGGGTTTTACCGTGTTAGCCAGGATGGTCTCGATCTCCTGACCTTGTGATCCGCCCGCCTTGGCCTCCCAAAGTGCTGGGATTACAAGCATGAGCCACCACACCCGGTCTACTATTTTTTTAAGACAGTCTCGCTCTGTTGCCCAGGCTGAAGTGCAGGGGTGCAATCTTGGCTCACTGCAACCTCTGCCTCCCAGGTTCAAGTGATTCTTATGCCTCAGGCTCTCGAGTAGCTGGGACTACAGGCATACGCCACCATATGCCTGGCTATTTTTAATTTTATTTTTAGTAGAGATGGGTTTTTACCATGTTGGCCAGGCTTGTCTCGAACTTCTGACCTCAAATGATCCACCTGCCTTGGCCTCCCAAAGTGCTGGGATTACAGGCATGAACCACCACTACTTTCTAAGAATATAAAGCAAAGCCTCTATGCTACAAAAAGGTTTTTGGGTTTCTATCCTTTGCCTCAGGAGTAAATCCACGTACTACCAAATGTTCTCAGAGAACAGTGTCAATGCCACAGCATTCCACTGACAAGCTGATGAGTGACCTTCAACTAAATATCAAGTATGGGGAACTGATGAAAGAAAACCATTGCTTCAAACTTAGTGGTTTCAAGGTTGTAATGAACATTATGAAATTCAATCTTGAGAGTTTCAGAAGCCAAAGGCTAAAAAAGCAGAGCTCATAAAGACTGTAATTCCAAGTCAAAGTTTAGAAAAAGTATGATTGTGGAAGATGAAATTTCAACTGATCTCTAATTTCTGTTTGAGATTAATAGAGAGTTTTCAGGTGTTTTCTGTTTCCAAATCCAACCTCCATAGTTTACATTTAATAAGGACAATTAAATAACACACTATGAACAATAAATTGCTTTGGTAGAAATTATGAAATAGTGCCAATCTTTCTTAAAAACTAGATTTAAGCATTTAAAAAATTTTTCAATTCAAATCATACCATAAATTCAGTCAAATATCCAAATTGATTTTTTGCAGTATTCTTATCAATATTTAGAAAAGACAAGATAGAGCAAACATCTATCCAAAAATCAGACATATCCTTGAAAATAAGTCATATACTTTCACGTCAATCCCACTGATAAACAGAAAACATGCTTTTTCAAAAACTGGTACATGGATGACAGAATTAGTGACTGTTTTATTTGAAATCTGGAACCCACAGTTTCCAAAGTTAAGCAGGGGAAGCTTAGATTTATTCTTTGTTCTTATCTGGAAGAATGTTTTCATAATCCATACCCAAATTAAGCCACAATATACTTCTTTTGAAGGGATTTTAATTCAAGACCCTAATTATTGTTTCCAGAATTTCTATTTTCAGAGGAATTATCTAGACAATTTCAATCACATTCCACCTGTAGATGCTCATACCTTAAATAATGCTGACTTTTAAGTGCACTAATTTTGTATTAATTAAAATATAAGATAAGCATGATACATCACTGTGAAAAATTGGGGAGTGTATCCAAAATATAAGCATCTTAGTGATAAACAGGAATTCTAAAAATAACTTTAAAAAGCCAGGTGCGGTGGCTCACGCCTGTAATCCCAGCACTTTGGGAGACCAAGACAGGAGGATCACAAGGTCAGGAGTTCAAGACCCGTCTGGCCAACATAGTGAAACCCCATCTCTACTAAAAATACAAAAATTAGCTGGGCATGGTGGCACACACCTGTGATCCCAACTACTCAGGAGGCTGAGGCAGAAGAATCGCTTGAACCCAGGAGACGGAGGTTGCAATGAGCCAAGATCGTGCCACTGCACTTCAGCCTGGGTGACAGAGTAAGATTCCAACTCAAAAAAAAAAAAACAACAAAAAAAGAATTTTTAGTCTAACACCACCAGCTTAAAAAAGAGTTAACTGGTACAAAAATCTCATATTATCCATTAAGCCTCTCAAAACAAAGCCAACAAAAATTTAAATATGTAAGAATAAAAGCCAAAAACCCCAAAAGCATCTAGCAAAACAACACTTTCAAACCGATGTCTTAAATACTCAGGTCAAATTTAACCACACATTTTTTAAGTGTGCTGCTACACTCACCGAAGCCAAGCATGGCACCTTATCAAGGTTAAAGAACTCATTAAAGTCAAAGTCTCCTGGGGACTGCTCAGGCAAGACAGCATCCCTTGGCACTTCCTGATCAGCCGCAGGCTCCTGTGCAAGGATGACCTCCACTTCATCCTCTTCGGCCACTCCTCCATTGCACTCTACTATACCTGAAAGCAAAACCAGGACAAAAACCGTCTGATAAGTAAATCACTCCAGTGTCCCTCTGTGGCTTCAGCCATCAGTATACATGTAGAAGAGCCACACATGACTTAAAAAGCAGACTTCTCGTGCAGGTACTGTACTTGCAAGAATAAAACAGTCCCCCTTCTACGGGAGGCAGAAAAGGAAAAAAGCCTTAATAAAGCTAGAATACCAATGGGATGTGGGGAGGATTATGGTTCCCTTCGTGGGAACTTCATATTTTCTATAGTGGAGGGGGGTCTTTTTTTTTTTTTTTTTTTTGAGATGGGGTCTTGCTCTGTTGCACAGGCTGGAGAGTAGTGGCACGATCACAGCTCACTGTAGTCTCTACCTCCTGGGCTCAGGTGATCCTCCTGCCTTAGCCTCCAGAGTATCTGGGACCACAGGTGCACACCACCATGCCTGGATAATTTTTTAATTTTTTGTAGAGACTGAGTCTCGCTAAATTGCACAGCCTGGACTTAAACTGCTGACCTCAAGTGATCCTCCTGCCTTGGCCTCCCAAAGTGCTAGGATTACAGTAGTGAGCCACTGTGTCCAGCACCATGCCTAGTTCTTTTTCTAGTGATTTTTTTTTTAAAGGATAGTCTTTGCAAGTCTCTTACTGCTTAAAAATGGAACCAAATTAATTTAGCTCTGCTTCTGCCCATGCACCTGTAGCACCACTTTCAGTCAGGGCTCAGCAACCTAAGGTATTTATGAGAAACCTGGCATGAGGGCAATTTTCACTTGCCTACAGGTTGGTTGTTGTAGCTCATCCTTCAAGGCGAAATTCAAATGTGACCTTCTCTGGGAAGCTTGCCCTGCCTACCCATTTTTGCCCTACCTAGTAAAATTAATTGCTACCTTCTCTATAATCCTTATGTCATCTCTGAGTACTTGTCACACTGTATAATAGTAACTCTCTGGTGAGGCTAAACTCTGAGGGTAGGGAACCTGGTCTAACCAGCTTTGTCTTACTCTGTAGTGCCAGGTATACTCTACAATGTTCAGTTGTTTTTAGGATGGGGAGACAAAGTGAAACTGCCAGATGCTAACATTTAAGGCATCTGACATCTTAGTTTTTAATGTTTTTATTTATTTTAAATACATAGCAAGGGCAACCTAGAGACATTCTGTAGTTAGCTAATGGGATGAACCAAGACCCCTGGATTCTACTCCAGGCTCTGCCATGAAATCCATCCCTTCTCTCCAGGTCTCAATTTCTCTCTGCATCTGTAAAATAAGGAGGTGCCACTACCAATCTATCTCACTCCTGACTCCTGCACTTGATACAAGAATGGTTGAAATTCAGATTTCACCTCACTTAAGAAAAACATAATTTTTTCTCACCAGAAGCCTGATCTTTATCGTTAAAGTGGTGCTTTATTGGGTGCTGCTTTAATTAAGAATGAGACAAAGACATATCTCAAAGCCAATTTAATAGCAAAGTCTTCCAAGTTACCTATCAATTTCTTACATTATCCTAGGGAACACTGTGTGATAGCACAAAGATAATGGTAATATGTACTATATTTTGAAGACTACAAAAGAAGATGAGTATTTTGATTCTCCATTTCCTTCTCCTTCTAAATAAATGCCATCAGCTTATTTCTGCTTATATTTGTCTTCATCAAAATGTTAAGGTGGCACTGATTTTTCCCTTATTTATTAAAATAGCTTTCCCAGACCAGGCGCAGTGGTTCACGCCTATAATCTCAGCACTTTGGGAGGCTGAGGCAGGTGGATCATGAGGTCAGGAGATTGAGACCATCCTGGCTAACACGGTGAAACACCATCTCTACTAAAAATACAAAAAATTAGCTGGGTGTGTTGGCACGCGCCTGTAGTTCCGCTACTCCGGAGGCTGAGGCAGAATTGCTTGACCCTGGGAGGCGGAGCTTGCAGTGAGCCAAGATCGCACCACTGCACTCCAGCCTGGGTGACAGAGCGAGACTCCGTCTCAAAAAAAAAAGAAAATTAATTAAAAAAAAAAATAGAGGACTGGCGCAGTGGCTCACGCCTGTAATCCCAGTACTTTGGGAGGCTGAGGCGGGTGGATCACGAGGTCAGGAGATCGAGACCATCCTGGCTAACATAGTGAAACCCCATCTCTACTAAAAATACAAAAATTTAGCTGGGCGTGGTGGTGGGCGCCTGTAGTCCCAGCTACTCGGGAGGCTGAGGCAGGAGAATGGCGTGAACCCGGAGGCGGAGTTTGCCGTGAGCTAAGATCGTGCCACTGCACTCCAGCCTAGGCAACAAAGCAAGACTCCATCTCAAAACAAACAAACAAACAAAAAACAAAAAAAAAGGCTTTCCCCTTTTGTTGCCTAGTATCTGCCAAAAGGCTTTCAACTAAGCCTGAAAGCTTGAGGCAGGTAGAATTTACTGAGTGCCTTCTTGGAGGCTGAGTTCTGATGGGTACATGTGTTCTTCAATGCTAAAGGTAACCCTTAAGTTATGATAGGCATTGTTCTTCCCTTTACAAAGAAACAGGCCCAGCTGTCAAAATTTTGTCAAAAATTATCCTTTTCTAAGCAGGAGCCCTAGTACTTTAACCCAGGTTAGTCCCCACCTGGCTCTACAGTGCCTCCTTCCCAAGACCATCAGCCTGGGACTGGCCACCTTAGAGCCAGGTCACTGCCCTAAAAAATGATTGGCTGCAGACCAATGGGCTCCCACTCTGCAGCAGGTACTTCACACACATTAGCTCTGGCTCCTTCAGTTTAGCAAGGGAGATATCTGACCCCATCTTACAGCTGAGGAAACTAGGTTTTTTTGGTTTTTTTGGAGACAGAGTCTCAACTCTGTCTCCCAGGCTGGAGTGCAGTAGCACAATCTCGCTGCAACCTGTCTCCTGGATTCAAGCAATTCTCCTGCCTCAGCCTCTCCAGTAGCCGGGAGTACAGGCATGCGTCAACACACCCAGCTAATTTTTGTATTTTCAATATAGACAGGGTTTCACCATGTTGGCCAGGCTGGTCTCAAACTCCTGACCTCAAATGATCCACCCGCCTTGGCCTCCCAAAGTGCTGGGATCACAGGCGTGAGCCACCGTACTCATCCTGAAACTAAGTTTGAGAGAAGGCAAATCACAAACAACTGACCTGGGAAGGCCTAATACCATGATGAAGAAGGTAGGCTCTGATGCCCAGAAGCATCTTGCTTTACTCTTGACTTCACTACTTATTTCCATGGTGACTACCTTAAGTGTCCTTGAGTTACTTAAGCCCTCTGAGCCTCCATTTGCTCATCTATGAAATGGGCATAAAAAAGTACCTACACTGCACAAGGTCATTAGGAGATGAAGGATTACACAGACAAAATACACTCACCACTGTGTTTAGGACATAATTGCTCAATAAATGAGACCTCTCATTTTTCTACCACGTTTCTTATTTCTGGGGAACTCTTTCATGTACACAGTCCTCTTACAGGATAACTTCAGACTTTTCTGTTTAGTGTGGCAGGCAGAACGAGTTAGGGAAACAGTATGATCTACACTTAGTGAATCCTCACTTAAGCAGTTGCAGGGGCTGGGCATGGTGGCTCACACCTATAATCCCAGCACTTTGGGATGCCGAGGCGGGTGATCACCTGAGGTCAGGAGTTCGAGACCAGCCTGGGCAACATGGTGAAACCCCATCTCTACTAAAAATAGAAAAAATTACCCAGGCGTCATGGCAGGCACCTGTAATCCCAGCTACTCGGGAGGCTGAGGCAGGGAAGAATCGCTTGAACCAAGGAAATGGAGGCTGCAGTGAGCTGAGATGGTGCCACTGCACTCCAGCCCGGGCAACTGAGCGAGACTCCGTCTCAAAAAAAAAAAAAGATTTCAAAATCAGGATGCATCATGAAAAACTTGCCATTTCCTATACATCTGGTGCCCATTCCTAAGTGTACAATTAGCCAGTGATAATCACATCTCTATTTTATTTTTGAGACAGTCTTGCTCTGTCACCCAGGCTGGAGTGCAGTGGTGTGATAGCTCACTGCAACCTCTGCCTCCCAGGTTCAAGCAATTCTTGTGCCTCAGCCTCCCGAGTAGCTGGGACTACAGGCACCAGCCACCACACCCCACTAATTTTTGAATTTTTGTGGAGACGGGGTTTCACCATGTTGGCCAGGCTGGTCTCAAACTCCTGACCTCAGGTGATCCGCCCACCTCGGCCTCCCAAAGTGTTGGGATTACAGGTGTGAGCCACCACGCCCAGCCTACATCTCATTTTAAAACAGCGAACTTCCCTCCCAAAGTTTGAACTGACCTTCCTTCACAGAGGCTGTCCGTCGCCTTGTTCTTTTTCTCCCTTTGTGATCTTCTTCTAGTATCTTATCATCAAAGCCAGTCAGTTCGATGGTTTCAGACTGACTTGTGGGTCCAGCAGAGAACCACTCTGGTTCTTCTTCTGTGTAAGAATCATTTCTTCTACGCTCACCAAAGACACGCTTACTATCTCCAAACTCTCTCTGGAAAAGTACATAAAGCAAGATTAAAAAATTTCTAGTCAAGCCATTTCTACTTCAGTCAAGGTCTTCGTTGTAATGTTCAATAGTGAAAGGAAGATATGATGCTGTATACCTGAGGCCCATCACCACCCCCACCCCTTCCTCCCTGACTGGTTTAAGAGCAGGCTGTGTTCATGCCTGTTCTCAAAGTAACCTGGTATAAAAAAAGTGAATATCAAGTCCCCAAGCACATGAACTACCAAAGAATCTAGAAGACAAACCCAGGTCGGGTGTGGTGGCTCACGCCTGTAATCCCAGCACTTTGGGAGGCCGAGGCAGGCCGATCACCTAAGGTTGGGAGCTTGAGAGACCAGCCTGACTAACATGGAGAAACCCCGTCTCTACTAAAAATATAAAAAGTTAGCCGGGTATGGTGGTGCGTGCCTATAATCCCAGATACTGGGCTGAGGCAGCAGTGAGTCAAGATCGTGCCATTGCACTCCAGCCTGGGCAACAAGAGCGAAACTCCGTCTCAATTTAAAAAAAAAAAAAAAAAAAAAAGACAAACCCTGAAACGCTTGTCCTTGAAGTCCCTCTCTCGGTCTCTGTCTCTCAAGTCCCGCAGGTCCTTATCGCTAAGACGGTGATCCTTCTCAAAGGTCCGGGCAGAGATTATCCTCCCACTGCCAATCCTACGTCCACCAAGCAGACGAAGCCCATCACTATCTTTCTCTAATGGACTTCCTGAGCGCCGGGAGCTAACAGCGGCTGTCACGTGGCAGCCCCCTCCAAAGCTCCGTCTCTGAGGGCTGAGAACAACATCTAAGTCATCTTCTTTCACACGCTCTCGTGGATCTGGAAGGACGTGGGAAAGACAAAGTTAAACAAACCAACAAGGGTGTTTTCTTCTTTTTTAGATAGTATGTCCATGACTGATGGGAGGAAGGGGATGGTTGGAAGAGAGTCACCACTAAAATTGGGCTTATCAGCAGATTCAGGGTAACATGTACATTATGTATTTAAATAAGGCTGAGACATTGGCCTTCCTCTTTGCAGCAATAGAAGTACGTCACGATAAATAATTTTCCATGATTAGTCTTTGCAGTGCCTTTATTTTGACCAAATCCTTATCTAAGAATTATTAGCAAATGTTTTGTCAACTAATAAACTACAGCAGGCGTATTTGAAAAAATAACTGCTTAAAAAGTTAAAGTGTCTCTTCAACAAAATGGTGTTGAACGGTTAGATATCCACAGACAAAGAAATGAACTTAAATCTATATTTGGGGCCGGGCATGGTGGCTCACGCCTATAATCCAGTACTTTGGGACGTCAAGGCAGGTGGATCACGAGGTTAGGAGTTCAAGACCAGCCTGGCCAAGATGGTGAAACCCCGTCTCTACTAAAACTACAAAAATTAGCCAGGCATTGTGGCAGGTGCCTGTAATCCCAGTTACTTGGGAGGCTGAGGCAGGAGAATCGCTTGAACCTGGAGGCAGAGGTTGCAGTAGCAGAAGTCACCCCGCTACACTGTAGCCTGGGCAAAAGACTAAGATTCAGTCTCAAAAAAAAAAAAAAAAAAAAAAAAATATATATATATATATATATATATATAAACAGATATATACAAAAATTAATTCAAAATGGATCACAGATCTAAATGTAAAACCTAAAACTAAAAATTTCTAGAACAAAATATAGGAGGAAATCCTTGTGGCACTGGGTTAGGCAAAGTTTTCTTAGGCATGACACCAAAAGCATGATCCATTTAAAAAACACTGATAGACTGGGCTTGATCAAAATTTAAAACTTCTACTCTTTGAAAGACACTGTTTAGAGAATGCAAAGACAAGCCACAGACTGAGACAAAATATTTCAAAGCATTTTTCTGATAAAGGACTTAAATTCAGAACACATAAAATCTCTTAATAAACCAACCCAGTGGCTCACGCCTGTAATCCCAGCACTTTGGGAGGCTGAGGTAGGTGGATCACCTGAGGTTAGGAGTTCGAGACTAGCCTGACCAACATGGTGAAACCTCGTCTCTACTAAAAATACAAAATTAGCCAGGCGTGGTGGTAGGCACCTGTAATCCCAGCTACTTGGGAGGCTGAGGCAGGAGAATCGCTTAAACCTGGGAAGTGGAGGTTGCAGTGAGCTGAGACTGCACCACTGCACTGTAGCCTGGGCACCAAGAGCCAGACTCTGTCTCAAAAAAAAAAAAAAAAAACCAACACAATTGAAAAATAGACAAATGGTTTGAACAGACACTTCACCAAAGAGGTTATGTGGAAGGCAAATAAGCATATGAAAAGATACTCAACATAATTAGTCATTAGGGAAATGCAAATTAAACCATGTGATACTACTACACGCCTATTACAATGGCTAAAATTTAAATGACCATTCCAAGTGCAGATGAGGATGTTGGAGCAAGTGCAACTCTCATACACCACTGGTGGAAACGTAAAATGGTACAACTACTTTGGAAAACAGTTTGGCAATTTCCCAGAAGGTTAAACATACATCTGCTATACAACCCAGCCATTTTAATCCTAGGTTTTTACCCAAGAGAAAAGAAAGCTTATGTCCAGAGACTTGTACATGAATGTTCATTGCAGCTTTGGTTATTTAACAGTCAAAAACTGGAAACAACCCAAATGTACATCAACAGATAAACGGATCAACTGCTAAATCCATACAATGGAATACTATTAAGCAATGAAAATAAACTAGACACTCAACAACGTGGATAAATCGTAACTATTCTTAATGAAAAAAGCTATACAAGGAGTATATACTATAGTAACTCCATTTATATAAAATCCTAGGAAATGTAAACTAATCTATAGAAACAGAAAGCAGATACAGAAAGCAGATCAGTCCGGACACTATGGCTCATGCCTGTAATCCCAACACTTTGGGAGGCCAAGACAGGTGGATCACCTGAGGTTGGGAGTTCAACACCAGCCTGGCCAACATAGGGAAACCTTGTCTCTACTAAAAATACAAAAATTGGGGCCAGGCACGGTGACTCATGCCTGTGATCCCAGCACTTTGGGAGGCTGAGGTGGGTGGATCACTTGAGGTCAGGAGTTTAAGACCAGCCTGGCCAACATGGTGAAACCCTGTCTCTACTAAAAATACAAAAATTAGCCAGGCATGGTGGCGCACGCCTATAATCCCAGCTACTTGGGAGGCTGAGGCGCGACAATCGCTTGAACCCGGGAGGCAGAGGTTGCAGTGAGCCGAGATCGCGCCACTGCACTCCAGCCTGGGTGACAGAGCAAGACTCTGTCTCGGTGGGGGGAAAAAAAAATTAGCTGGGCACGGTGGAACGTGTATGTGTAATCCCAGCTACTCAGGAAGCTGAGGCAAGACAATCGCTTTAACCTGGGAGGCAGAGGTTGCAGTAAGCAGAGACCACGCCACTGTACTCCAGCCTAGGCAACAGAGGGAGACTCTGTCTCAAAAAAACAACAAAAAAAAACAAAGCAAATCAGCGCTTGCTTGGGAAGGGGGAAGTGTTGTGGGGGGGGCAGCTAAAGGGAGGGACACATAGGAATACTAGGGAACTTTTGGGGGTGATAAAAATGCTTATGTTGATTTTGGTAACGGTTTCACAGGTATATACACATGTCAAGACATCAAATGGTATACTTTTTGTGCAGGCTATATGTAAATTCTATCTCAATAAATTTATTGGTGTAGGAAGAACAAACATGTCACCATACAAAAAATGTCTTCCTAGAAAAACCAGGAAACTGAAGATTAGTCCATGTGAGAAAAATCTGCTTTAATTCTGTTATCACAAACAGCTCCTAGAATGTTCTGTTGTGTACTTTTACAGAATTTCTGTGCAGTCTGTTTTTTCCAAACACAGGATACAATATGGAGAGTTTTCTATGAGTCAGTACGTCATGAACATTATTTGCCAATAAACACATCTGCAACATGGTTTTACAGGACAATGCAATGTAACATTCCCATATATGGATACACCGAAGTTTACGCGACCCATTTCTACTGTTGGATATTTAGGTTCCTTCTCAGTTTTCATCATTTTAATAAAGTCTCTGCATATCTTTAATGATTCTGCTAGAATAAATTCTTTGAGAGACATTACTGTACTGAGTGTACTGACAGACTGTGTAGAAGGGTCTTATAGCTTAAACTAGAGCCGGGCTATCTTTTTCGTTTAGTTCCAAGTTTTTATGATGAGTCGTCCTCTCATCTCAAAAAAAGTTCTTGCAACAAGTTCCTTGACTGCTTTTATATTACCTGGTCTCCATTTCACCCTTAAACAACGTTTCTAAAGGGGTAAACTTTAAACTAGGAAAGTTGGAAGATCAGACTTAACTTCAGTCTCAAACCGTATCCAAGCCTTTATTCCGATCACAGTCCACTATGAATTAAGAATTGCCAGAACTAGGCCGGGCGCAGTGGCTCATGCCTGTAATCCCAGCATTTTGGGAGGCCGAGGTGGGTGGATCACGAGGTTAGCAGTTCAAGACCAGCCTGGCCAAGATGGTGAAACCCCATCTCTACTAAAAATACAAAAACTAGCCAGGCATGGTGGCAGGCACCTGTAATCCCAGCTACTTGGGTGGCTAAGGCAGAGAATTGCTTGAACCCAGGAGGCAGAGGTTGCAGACTAGGCAACAGAGCAAGACTCCGTCTCAAAAAAAAACAGAACAAAAAAAAAAGAATTGCCAGAACTAATTTATACCGGAGGACTGGTCTCACATATGAAAGAAAGCATAATGAGATTTCCAGCACAGCTTTATGCTACCCACCACATCTAACTCAGTTATCCATGCCAGTGAAAGATAATCGGTACTTTTAATTCAGAAGCACACAGCCTAACAGTCTTCTTATATAGCTGTGACAAAGTAGACTATGACTTTACCCTGCTGATTAGGAAAAATCCAACCGATAAATCAGTTTCCTGATAATGACATTTCCCCTCAAAGCATAAAATTCTCAGAGCTAAGAATGAAACCAGCAGGCAAAAGCATGTCCCCAAAATCACTAACCCCACTTCTGAGTGACTGTGTGCTCACCTACTATCCTGCGCACCAGGGAAGGCCGGTCTGTATCCAACTCTTTCTTCAGACTTTCCACTGGTGAGCTCCGCCCTGAAGCTGGGTAGAGAGAGGCATGCCACTTCTCAGGGTCCCAGACACCATCACTACAGGTCAAAAAATACAACTGTTAGCACTTACGCCCATGAACCATATAGGCAGTGTGATTTCTAAACCTCCTCAGCTAATAGTTATGGAAACCCATTTCTCCTTTTTTGAGACAGGGTCTCGCTCTGTCGCCCAGGATGGAGCGCAGTGGCGTGATCTCAGCTCACTGCACCCTCTGCCTCCCAGGTTCAAGTGATTCTTCTGCCTCAGCCTCACCAGTAGCTGGGATTACAAGTGCCCACCACCACATCTTGCTAATTTTTGTATTTTTAGTAGAGATGGGGTTTCACCAGTTGGCCAGGCCAGGTCTCTAACTCCTAACCTCAAGTAATCTGCCTGCCTTGGCTTCCCAAAGTGCTGGGATTACAGATGTGAGCCACTACGCCCAGCCAGAAACCCATTTCTAAAATAAAGCTTCATGACTGCCTGCAGAATTGTTACCTCTTTTAATATGAAAACAAAAACATCTATTAATTCAGTAATGCTTTGTTGTTGATCACACAACACCAACAGTCACTTGAAAACTAATGGTCTGTACACAATTGAAACATTCAGACCATATACCTTGGCATGCACATGGATTACAATAACTACGCCTGTACTATACAAAGAAGATGTTCCATAAATATTAACTGTTGTTTACTGAAGACTAATACAAAGGAGAAAAAAGAGTCCCTTAACTCTCTCACCAGAAGTAGCACCTGGATCATTTGATGTGTATTTTTCCAGAATTTCTATGCACAGTCTTAGTTTTTCCACAAGCAGGGCAAACAGCTCTTACGACCTAAAATGTGTAGTTTAGGTTTTATTTTATTCTCTGTGTAATGATGGGGTGGTGGGTAGTACTGTGCACGAGCAGAAACTCTGGAGCCCAAAATCTGGGCTTTAATTCTAGTTTTGCCACCACTACTGGGAACATCCTGGACAAGTTACTGAGCTGCATCTTCTGCAGAAAGAACTTCCCAGCCCCCAGATTAGACCAGGCCATGCTATACACTAGCAACGTACTTCACACTTGTCCTTTGCAGCCTGTGATGTTTGCAATGATAAATTTTTACAAGTATTTGATTATATCCTTCCATAGACCAATGCCCCATGAAGCCACGGAATATTTTATAGAATCTGGCACAGTATTTATGACATAGCAGGTACCAATGAACATTTCTTGAATAAGTGAGTTAGCTTTTCAGTCTCAAACTCCTCACAATAAAATATATACTACCTACCTTCTAGGGTAGTGGTGAGGATTATCTAGCATTTAAGAGCCCAACAAATTTTAGTTCTCAGAGAGGTGAAAGGAAATGAGAAGCTCTCTCCTCTTTCTTATTTTTACCACCAGGCACAATGTCTCTGCTTCAGAAATAAAAGCTGTTTGTCTGCCCAGGATAACTTTTTTATTTTTTTCAGACAGGGTCTCAGAGTTCTGTCACCCAGGCTGGAATGCAGTGGCATGATTATACCTCACTGCAGCCTGAAACTTCTGGACTCAGGTGATCCTCCCATCTCAGCCTCCTGAGTAGTTATGACTACAGGCAGGTGCCACCATGCCCAGATAATTTTTAAAAATATATTTTGTAGGCCAGACGCAGTGGCTCATGCCTGCTAATCCCAGCACTTTGGGAGGCTGAGGTGGGTGGATCACCTGAGGTCAGGAGTTCGAGACCAGCCTGGCCAACATGGTGAAACCCCGTCTCTACTAAAACTATAAAAATTAGCCAGGTGTGGTGGTGGGTGCCTGTAATCCCAACTACTCGGGAGGCTGAGGCAGGAGAATCGCTTGAACCCGGGAGGGGAAGGTTGTGGTGAGCCAAGATTGCGCCATTGCACTCCAGCCTAGGCAACAAGAGCGAAACTCCACCTCAAAAAAAAAAAAAAAAAAAAGAAAAATCCTAACTAATTGGCTATAGCCATTATTCAAGTATCAAGTATCACCTTCATCAGGGAATGTGGTATGAGGCATCCAGGTTTTTTTGTTGTTGTTGTTTTGTTTTTTTTGAGATGGAGTCTTGCTCTGTTGCCCAGGCTGCAGTGCAATGGCGCAGTCTAGGATCAACGCAACCTCCACCTCCCGGGTTCAAGCGATTCTCCTGCCTCAGCCTCCCGAGTAGCTGGGACTATAGGCATGTGCCACCACACCCAGCTAATTTTTGTATTTTTAGTAGACACAGGGTTTCGCCATGTTGGCCAGGCTGGTCTCAAACCCCTGACCTTGTGATCTGCCCGCCCTGGCCTCCCAAAGTGCTGGGATTACAGGTGTGAGCCACTGCACCTGGCCCATCATCTCTTAAATATCAAGGTAGATGGTTTATATTAGTATTAGCCTACATTTTTTTTAACATATAAAGCATCATATTAATGTTCAATTTCCTGGTTAAATAGGACTTTTTTTTTTTTTTTTTTTGAGATAGGATCTCTGTTGCTCAGGCTGGAGTGCAGTGACACAATCATAATTCACTGCATCCTCAAGCTCCTGGGCTCAAGCAAACCTCTCGCTTTGGCCTCCTGAGTACTTGGGACTATAGGCACTATAGTACCATAGGTACCATAAATACAAAAACATTAGCTGTGCGTGGTAGTGGGTGCCTGTAATCCCAGCTACTCGGGAGGCTGAGGCAGGAGAATCGCTTGAACCTGGGAGGTGGAGGTTGCAGTGAGCCCAGATCGCGCCAATGCACTCCAGCCTGGGCAAAAAGAGTGAAACTCTGTCTCGGACAAAAAAAAAAAAAGAAAAGAAATGACTAAGGTGGCCATAAGTAGTACAATATAGGATTATTGTAGGAGATTTTCAGACCATTTTTAGCTATAGTCTTCCCAAACCAAAGCCTTCTTCTTCTGAGGGAAACTAGGATGAAATAAAGCTAATCTGAACGGCTGAATAGTTTTTTGTGGGAATGCAAAAAAAAAGAACCAAGAGCGCCCCTGAGCAGCATACCTGAGGCAGGTACCCTCAAAGTACAGTGCAAAAAACCACTGGTAGAGGACAAGACCCTGGTGAGGACTCCTGGGTTCAAGTCTTTTTTTTTTTTTTTGAGACGGAATCTCGCACTGTCGCCCAGGCTGGAGTGCAGTAGTGCGATCTCAGCTCACTGCAGGCTCCGCCTCCCGAGTTCATGCCATTCTCCTGCCTCAGCCTCCCGAGTAGCTGGGACTACAGGCGCACGCCACCACGCCTGGCTAATTTTTTGTATTTTTAGTAGAGATGGGGTTTCACCATGTCAGCCAGGATGGTCTCGATCTCCTGACCTCGTGATCCGCCTGCCTTGGCCTCCCAAAGTGCTGGGATTACAGGCATAAGCCACCATGCCCTGTCGGGTTCAAGTCTTAATTCTGCTTTCTGACTATGTGACTCTGACCAGGTCATCTTTTAATTTTAGTTTCATTCCTAGGTAGTTGAAACCCATCTTATTACCTCTCGAAATCCCTCTTTCACTTATAATTCTACCAGAAAACTTCAAAACAATACAATTCTTAATTTACCAAGTTTGGTATAACAAAAAGTTATTGACTAGAAGTAGTTAAGGACTAGAATGACACACATACCTGTCATATTTTTCAGAAAGGCATGAAGGCCTCTGTTTGGAATGGGGGAGTTCTTTTATATCCAAGAGTTCTTCCTAAAAAGAGAAGTCAAATAGTCATTTTGAATTACATTTCTTAGGCCACACACTTTAAACTTCTGTTCTGAATAATTCTAAGTGTCCATCTTAAACACTTCACACAATTCTTATTTACATCTTGCCTTATTTCAGAAAGGACTGGAGTACATTGAGGTTCTCACAAGCTCAAGCAGAATAATCCAGTAACTTAAAAGTGATCAGTTTCTGGCTAAAACAATCTCTCATAATTGCTATTGAATAACATTTCGTAACACTGAAAGCTCATCAAGGCAAGGAAACTTTAGTGTTAGATAAAACCTCTGCCTAATCTTACCAATTTTCAATGCATTAGATGACAACTTACAAGGGGATTTTTTTTTTTTTTTTTACATGGAATCTCACTCTGTAGCCCAGGATGAAGTGCAGTGGCACAATCTTGGCCCACTACAACCTCCACCTCCTGGGTTCAAGCAATTCTCTTGCTTCAGTCTCCCAAGTGGCTGGAATTACAGGCACACGCCACCATGCCTGGCTAATTTTTGTATTTTTAGTAGAGACGGGGTTTTGCCATGTTGGCCGGGCTGGTCTCAAACCCCTGACCTCAGGCGATCTGCCCGCCTCGGCCTCCCAAAGTGCTGGGATTACAGGTGTGAGCAACCGGGCCGGGGGGCGATAGTTTTTTTTAAATGTAATGTTGCAAGACTGAAAAAACACAAAAAACATCCATATACTATGTACCTATTAACATTTCTCCCTATTTATCATTTACTTTTTTGCAGAATTTTAAAAAAATTGATACAGACATTTGTATACACTTATGGGGTATATGTGATATTTTGTTACATGTATAAACTGTGTAATGATCAAGTCAGGATATCTCGGGTGTCAATTACCTCAAGTATTTATCCTTCCTATGTTTTGGAGACATTTAAAGTCCTCCCTTCTAGCTGTTTTGAAATATACAATACACTTGTTAACCACAGCCACTCTGCTCTGCTATCAAACATTAGAATTTACTCCTTCAACTGCATGTTTGTATCCATATAACCAACCTCTTTGTATTCTGCCATCCCACCCACACACCTTTCCCAGACTCTGGTATCTATCATTCTATTCTCTATCTCCACGAAGCCAAGTTTTTTTGGCTTCCACATATGAGCGAGCTTTTTTTTTTTTTTTTTGACTAGAGAGTAAATTGCATAAGTCATGATGCCTTACTCCTAAATACTGCAGTGCCTATTTCCTAAGAATGAAGATATTCCTTTACAGCCTGTTATCCAGCTCCATGAGAGAATTTAGCCCTACAGAAAATGACCTGAGTGAACTATTTTCCCATTCTCTCAAGGATGTACTTAGCTGGTATGCACAGGAGAGAGGCTAATCCCTCACATATAACGGATGCCTCAGGGCATGAAGACTTCTGCAGACCCAAGTTGAGAAGAACTGCCAGTTTTTTTTATAACTACAACTATTGATAATACTTTTTTCTAATCTACCTTCCCAATTCCAGTTTTGTAAATTGACCCAGTAATGTCCTTTATATTGATCTTCCCCCTCCAAAACAGGATCCAGTCTAGAATCAGATATTTGATTGTTGTATCTCTTTGGTCTCCCTTAATCTAGAACATTTCTACAACTTTTGTCTCTTATGATAGTGACATTTCTAGAAAATATAGTCCCTTTCTGTAAAAGAACATTATTCATTTTGGGTTGGTCTGATGTTTTCTCATGATAGACTGAGCCTAAATATCCATGGGGCAGAATACTAACTGAAGAGGTGCTGTGTCCTTCACAGACCGTCACTTCTGGAGGCCATGATGTTCATCTGTCCTTTATCTATGGTGCTAATTTGGATCATTTGGTCAAGGTATTCTCTAGTTTCTCTACTATTTAGTTACTGCTTTCCCATTTGCATTTAGCATGCAATCTGTGGGGAGACACTTTAAAATCACCCAAATATCTTGGTCTTCAGTTTTCCACTAAAGTTAGCATCCATTAATGATTCTTGACCAAACCACTCTTCATTTTGCCACTCTAGCCCTCTCTCCACTCTCCATATTTACCAGCCAGCACTTGGCATCATACTGTAAAGGCAAGTCCTCCTTTCCCCTGTTTATATACCTATGTATTATTGGTATGGACTCACAGACTCCTAGTTTTTCCTCTTTTTTTTTTTTTGAGACAGTCTTGCTCTATCGCCCAGGCTGGAGTGCACTGGCGCAATCTTGGCTCACTGCAACCCCTGCCTTCTGGGTTGAAGCACTTCTTCCACCTCAGCCTCCCGAATAGCTGGGACTACAGGCATGCACCACCATGGCTGGCTAATTTTTTTTGTATTTTTAGTAGAGACGGAGTTTCACCACGTTGACCAGACTGCTCTGCAACTCCTGACCTCAAGTGATCTGCCTGTCTCAGCCTCCCAAAGTGCTGGGATTACAGGCGTGAGCCACCGTGCCCGGCTGACTCCTGGTTTTTCTGTTGGTCTATAACTCATTAATGTCCTCAATTATGTGGCGCTCAAACTGTCCCAGATTTTGCCAGTGGGTGCCTCTTCAAACTGGCCCATGTGTCTTTTTCAACATGCCATCTTTTTTTTTTTTTTTTCCTAAAGACTGTCATACGTTCTAGCTTATTTTGTATTCATCCTGTCCCAGCCCTGGAATCAGCTATTTCTGAGAAATCCTAGTTTCTTTAAGTGAGGAATTGCATAAAACACCAAGGTCTGGGAACTGGGTATCCTCATTTGCTTGAAGGCCCTTTCAGTAGAGTTAGGAAATATACACACTTACATATACACACATATATATACACACATGCACACTAACACACATATCTACCCATATATACAACAAACTACTGCCTCCTTTTGGTATACTTTGAAATATTTTTTATAATAAAGTTAAAAAGCAATTCCGAAACTTTCAGCACCAGTAAAATGCTGCAACTGCCTTGCAAAAAAGCACATACCACTATGCCATGACTTTGGCAACACTCCCATCCCAGGCCTTGTAGTAGGAGAATGTGCACTGCTTCTCAGATCACTGATTCAACATCTTGGGGTGAGGATGGAGGGACAGATTTGCTCAATCAGCCCACAAGAATCACTGGGTATAGCATACCATGAATTCTCTAGTGTTTACAGAAAACTGAAGCATCTAAATGTTTTCTTCAGGACAAGATGCCGCCTTAGGACTATATGATACTTCAGTTTTAAGACCAGGATATCAATCAGGCATTTGCATTTATTTAGGATTTATTTATCAATTACCTGTCTTATAACTGGATAGAAATACGAATAAAAATTTGTAAGACTGAGATAAACACAGTTCCAAATACAAAGACATACCTAAAGGCTGTTCAAAATTCTGAAAAAAAACTGTCAAAGAACATACAACCTATAAATCACCAGTAAAGATAGGAGTCAGCCAGGTCCAGTGGCTCACATCTGTACTCCCAGAACTTTGGGAGGCTGAAGCGGGAAGACTGCTTGAGTCCAGGAGTTCAAGATCAGCCTGGGCAATATAAGGAGACACCTGTCTCTACAAAAAATATTTTAAAATTCATCGAGTGGGCCGGGCACAGTGGCTCACGCCTGTAATCCCAGCACTATAGGAGGCTGAGGCAGGCAGATCACTTGAGGCCAGGAGTTTGAGACCAGCCTGGCCAACATGGTGAAACCCTGTCTCTACTAAAAATATAAAACTTAGCCAGGTGTGGTAGCGGACGCCTGTAATCCCAGCTACCTGTAGGGAGGCTGAGGTTGCAGTGATCTGAGTTCGCGCCACTGCACTCCAGCCTGGGTGACAGAGCGAGACTCCGTTTAAAAAAAAAAAAAAAAAAAATTCACCAAGTGTGGTCCCCGCTACTCAGGAGGCTGCGGTGGGAGGGTCACTTGAGGTCAAGGCTGCAGCGATCGCACCACTGCTCTCCATCCTGGGTGACAGAGACCCTGTCTCAAAAAAAGAAAAAAACAAAACACACCACGGGAGACTCCAGAGAAATCTTCAGGGCAAACATGGTGTCAGATCTGTAGGGTTAGCACAACTTTGGGGCTGGGGGGAGGGGTTCAGGGAGGATGGAGCAATAGTAATTATGAAAATATCAGATATTACTGTAACACAGAAATCCTAAGGACAAGAGGGCTTAAAATTTTTCTAGTAGAAACAGGAAGGACCTTGCAATATAGGAAATACTTATACATAATGCTACAGGAAAAACCACTGCAAAGCAATTTTTTACTCTTAAAAGTAACTAAAGATTATCACATATCCCCTTACTACCCCATGCAGATACTAAGAACCCTAATGTGCTATTCAATCAAAGACAATCTTTCACGCTTAAATGTGTAAATTCTTAATGTAGGGAAGTTTCTAAGTGGTGTTTTGTTTGAAACTTTTAACTCCAAAGGTAACAGGGATCCCAATAGGTGTTCTCAATTACCACTACAGCTGTTTGCTGAACTCTATAATGATTTTACCTATTTATTTAGGAGTCACCTGGGAAAGGTTAATACTTTAACACAACCACAAAACATCCAGAAAAGCCTAATTTTGGTCCTATTGACGAGGAATCAAAAAATACTTTAACAGAAGTAACAGTCTTAAAAAAAGGAAAATAGGAGGCTAAAGAGAGAGGACAACTAAACATAATATGGTATCCTGGATAGAATCCTTGAACAGAAAAAGGATATTAGTTTAAAAATAGGAAAATATGGGCTGGGCACGGTGGCTCACACATGTAATCACAGCACTTTGGGAGGCCAAGGCGGGTGGATCACTTAAGATCAGGAGTTCAAGACCAGCCTGGCACGCCTGTAATCCCAGCTACTTGGGAGACTCAGGCAGGAGAATTGCCTGAGCCTGGGAGGCAGAGGTTGCAGTGAGCTAAGATCACACCACTGCACTCCAGCCTGGACAACAGAGTAAGATTCTGTGTCAAACAAACAAAAAAATTAGCCAGGTGTGGGGGTGCACACCTGTAGCCCCAGCTACTTGGGAGGCTGAGGTATGAGAATTGCGAACCTGGGAGGCAGAGGTTGCAGTGAGCCAAGACTGCACCCTTTTTGAGGGAGACCCTGTCTCAAAAAAAAAAAAAAAAAAAGGCAGGGCATGGTGGCATGCCTATTGTCCAGGCGACTTGGTTGAGCCCAGGAGATCCAGGCCGCAATGAGCTGTAATTGTACCACCGCGCTCTAGCCCGAGTGACAGAAAACCTGTCTCAAAAAAAAAAGAGGCCGGACGTATTACTTGAGGTCAGGAGTTCAAGACCAGCATGGCCAACATAGCAAAACCCTGTCTCTACTAAAAATTAAAAAATTAGCTGGGTATGATGGCGCATGCCTGTAATCTCAGCCTCACTTGAGAGGCCGAAGCAGGAGAAATTGGTTGAATTCAGGAGGTGGAAGTTGCAGTAAGCTGAGATTCTCCAGCCTCGGCAACAGAACAAGACCTCTGTCTCCAAAAAAAAAAAAAAAAACAAAAAAAACAAAAAAAGAGAATTTGAAATTGAGAGGTTATTCAAAGTTAATGTTTTGTTCAATATAATCTTTCCTCTTAGAGTTATTGCTCTAATCACAGAGTGATAAACACCAACTACTCTCAGTTAAGAAGAGTTAACAAAATTCTCATTTTCACTTCCGTATTCCAGTTTTCGTTGTTGACTTTACATGCTTAGCATACATAGGTGTGATGCTTAAGTGAACAGATGTACAAACTTCACAGGCCTGTAAGAGCAGAAGGCAGAGTAGCAAGCTAGTTACACACTGACATTAACCACACCAGCAACATTATTTGTGCCAGGGCGCACTTTTGACCAAATACAATGGCTAAAACATAGCTCACCTGTCCATAGAGGATAAAGAGCCATTTTCTTCACTGAGAAATGGGCTTAGAAACAAGACAACTCTTGGGTTGTAAAAGTGGCAGGGAGTCACTGTAAACATCTAGGTAAACAGTATTTACTGTTCTTGAAAAGTAAGACTTCTTAAATCAGTTCCATGGTGTCAAGGAGTGTAAGACCTCCCATTTGAAACCATATGGAAAATGATGCATTTGTGCAATTTCTGCAGTGAATGTTCACACCTTCAAAAGATTTCCAATGAATGCCCAAGAGGTTAAAAATTATTGCTTCCAACTGAGCATGTTTCTCAAAATATGGCCCAAGGTCCACGTGGACATTTAGGGAAAAATGAGAGAAAACTTCCTCACTGTTTACAGCACTAAATGTGTTACCTTCCAGCATGATCCTAAGATGCTTAAGGTGGTATCCCAGCACAAGAAGATCCCCTACTTAAGTGGGGAAGAGAGAAACCATGAGCTAAGTCAATACAGTTTGGGCCAGGCATGCTGGCTGACACCTGTAATCTCAAAACATTGGGAGGCCGAGACCAGCTATCACTTGAGTCAGGAGTTCATGAGCAGCCTGGCCAACATGGTGAAACCACGTCTCTACTAAAAATAAAAAAACTAGCTGGGCCTGGTGGTGGACACCTGAAATCCCAGGTACTATTCAGGAGGCTGAGGCACAAGAACTGCCTGAACCCAGGAGACAGAGGTTGTAGTGAGCCGAGATCATGCCACAGCACTACAGCATGGGTGACAGAGCAAGACTCTGTCTCAAAAAAAAAAAAAAAAAAAATGCTGAGTGCAGTGGCTCACACCTGTAATCCCAGCACTTTGGGAGGCCAAGGCGGGCGGATCACGAGGTCACGAGATCGAGACCATCCTGGCTAACACAGTGAAACCCTGTCTCTACTGAAAATACAAAAAAATGGCCGGGCACAGTGGCTCAAGCCTGTAATCCCAGCACTTTGGGAGGCTGAGGCGGGCGGATCATGAGGTCAGGAGATCGAGACCATCCTGGCTAACATGGTGAAACCCCGTCTCTATCAAAAATACAAAAAAATTAGCCGGGCGTGGTGGCAGGTGCCTGTAGTCCCAGCTACTCGGGAGGCTGAGGCAGGAGAATAGCGTGAACCCGGGAGGCGGAGCTTGCAGTGAGCTGAGATCGCACCACTGCACCCCAGCCTGGGTGACACAGAGAGACTGTTTCAAAAAAAAAAAAAAAAAAAGTTTGCTCTCTTTACAACTGTCCACATAATATATCCTGTGTGCCCAGTTTAGTGCCACACATAGACAGATGACTCTTGTCCCCACCCCTACAGCTCTTCCAGTCTCTCGAAAGAAATTTTTTTTTTTTTTTGGAGATGGAATCTCACTCTGTCACCAAGGCGATCTCAGCTCACTGCAACCTCTGCCTCCAGCGTTCAAGCAATTCTGCTGCCTCAGCCTCCTGAGTAGGTGGGATTACAGGCTCATGCCGCCATGCCCGGCTAATGTTTTTCTTGTATTTTAGTAGAGATGCGGTTTCATCATGTTGGCCAGGCTGCCTGAGCTCAGGTAATCCGTTTGCCTCGGCCTCCCAAAGTGTTAGGATTACGGGTGTGAGCCACCATGCCTGGACAAGAGAAGAGTCTTTTTTTTTTTTAAATATGGAACACTTCATGAATTTGCGTGTCATCCTTGCGCAGGGGCCATGCTAATCTTCTCTGTATTGTTGCAATTTTAGTATATGTGCTGCCGAAGCAAGCATGAAAAGAGTTCTTAAACTTGCCATCTCATCAAGAGCCCTTAACATTATTCGTGGAAATACCCCTTTGGGATATTTTCAAAGAAAACGTTCAACTATGGCTAAAGACAGAATACTTGGGAAGTGGCCACTCTAACTAGGAGTGCTTCCTTCTTATGAGTATTTCAAGAAAGGATGTGATATTACCCTTTTGGAAAGGTGTTTTTTTTTTTTTTTTTTTAATCTATCCTTTTGGAGTTTTTTTTTTGAGACAGGTTCTCACTCTCAGGCTGGAGTGCAGTGGCATGATCATAGCTCACTGCAGCCTCAAAACTCATGGACTCAAGTGATCTTTCTTGCCTCAGCCTCCCAAGCAGCTAAGACTACAGGTGCATGCCACCACATCCAGCTAATTTAAAAAATTTTTTGTAGAGATGAGGTCTTGCTGTGTTGCCCAGGCTGGTCTGAACTCTTAGGCTCAAGTGATCATCTTGCCTCAGCCTCCTAAAGTGCTGGGATTACAAGTGTGAGCCACTGTGCCTAGCCTGGAAAGTCTTAACCCATAGGAACTTACTGATCACGAATGAATTCATTAAGATTACCATATGGCGAATATAAGAGTTAATACCTGAGACTTCACTTTTTGCACAGGTTACTAAAACCTGACTAGGCAAGAACAAGCTGCTAATTGCCCAAGAGCCACACACCCAAGGAAGCATAAACATATTTTCTTAGTTGCAGCAGCCTTCCTTAAAGAAAATGTGTCAAGGCTCCCAAAACCTATTGGGGAATTACTAGTATGAACACCCACTTTTGGTGATCACTATTAAAGTGGAAAGCAAATGAATCTCAACAAAAGCCCAAAAGAACAATGGTTAAAATCCTTATCCATTTCTTTCTGCAGAAATCCTATGCAGAAACAACTATGCATTCTGATGGACCTTCTGACATTATGTAGAATTTCACATAAGTCACATTTATGGAAGGGGGATTAAAAGGGAAATATTCCTGGGCGGGCGTGGTGGCTCACGCCTGTAATCCCAGCACTTTGGGAGGGTGAGACGGGCAGATCACCTGAGGTCAGAAGTTTGAGACCAGCCTAACATGGAGAAACCCCATCTATACTAAAAATACAAAAAATTAGCCGGGCATGGTGGCGTGCGCCTGTAGTCCCAGCTACTCGGGAGGCTAAGGCAGGAGAATCGCTTGAACCCGGGAGGCAGAGGTTGTGGTGAGCCAAGATCACGCCATTGCACTCCAGCCTGGGCAACAGGAACAAAACTCCCTCTGAAAACAAAACAAAACCGAACAGGCAGGGGCCGGGTGCAGTGGCTCACGTCTGTAACCCCAGCACTTTAGGAGACCAAGGTGGGCAGATCACTTGAGGTCAGGAGTTTGAGACCATCCTGGCCAACATGGCGAAATCGTCTCTACTAAAAAAAAGAAAATCAGCTGGGCATGGTGGCACACACCTGTAATCCCAACTACTCAGGAGGCTGAGGCAGGAGAATCACTTCAACCTGGGAGGTGGAGGTTGCAGTGAGCCAAGATCGTGCAAGACTCTGTCTCAACAATAACAAAAAAGGAACGGGTAGGAAAAAGCAGTCAGAAGCTATTCTCTATGGTCTTGCCAGCCAGCCTGCTCTAACAACTTCCAGTAAGATAGGTTTTCTGGACAGTTGACACATTAAGATTGAATAATTTTTTTTTCCTTTGAGACAGAGTCTCACTCTGTTGCCCATGCTGGAGTGCAATGGTGCAGTCATAGCTCACTGCAAGCTCAACTTCCCAAGCTCAAGTGATCCTCCCACGTTAGCCTCTTGAGTATCTGGGACCACAGGTGCACACCACCACCTCTGGCAATTTTTTTTTTTTTTAACGAGATGGGGTCTCACTATATTGCCCAGTCTGGTCGTGAACTCCTGGACTCAATTCATCCTCCCACCTTGTCCTCCCAATGACTTTTCATACCATAATTCTACCTTCTCCAACATAAATAGGTATCCTTAAATTAGTTTAAGAAGTTTATACCTAAATTTGTCACAGAAATGCCACCTGAGTTACTACTCAGTTTATAAAAGATACATTTAGTTATCAAATAAGATTTCTGTACTGGAAAAAGGGACCACCTGATTCCTGTTTCAACCTAGGATTTAAATCAGTTACTCTTTTCTCTGGGGATTGGCTTCAAGTCTTCTGATTATATCCAAGAAGGCTAGGATGACTCAAGTCAGTCACTTCAACTGCTTGTCCATTTTCCTGATTGTTTTAAAGGAAAGACAAACATGGCTGTACTGACTGCTATGACCAATTGGCCTACCAGCCACAAATTAGGATGGCCTCCCTTAAAGATCCCTGGAGACACTAATGACTACAATAATGCCACTTTGTAACTAGTCAAGGTTATGAGGAGTCCACATGGGGCCAGATGCAGTGGCTCACACCTGGAATTCCAGCACTTTAGGAGGCTGAGGCAGGAGGATCGCTTGAGGTCAGGAGTTGGAGACCAGCCTGGGCAACATAATGAGATCCTATCTCTACAAAGAAATGAAAAAATTAGCCATGTGTGGTGACACACACCTGTAGTCCTAGCTACTCAGGAGGCTGAGGTGGAAGGATCGCATGAATGCAGAGTTCGAGGCTGCAGTGAGTTAACTGTACCACTGCACTCCAGCCTGGATAACAGTGAGAGCCTGTCTCAAAAAAAAAAAAAAAAATTCCACATGAAGTTAAACTAAGATAATTCAACATTCACTTAACTTTAATACGCATGTTTAACACTGGTCAGTATCAAGCTGAATGTTCTGAGTGTCTCTGCTTTTATTCCCTGTCCAACTGGCAGGTGACAGTCATTTAATAAGGAATCAGTGGCAAAACACAGGAGCAAAGGAAGAACAGCATAACGTATGTATCCTTTATAAGATTAGTCTATTTGGCCGGGTGCGGTAGCTCACGCCTGTAATCCCAGCACTTTGGCAGGCCACGGCAGGTGGATCACTTGAGGTCAGGAGTTTGAGACCAACCTTACCAATATGGTGAAACCCCGTTTCTAATAAAAATACAAAAATTAGCTGGGCATCATGGCACGTGCCTGTAATCCCAGCTACTCAGGAGGCTGAGGCAGGAGAATTGCTTGAACCTGGGAAGCAGAGGTTGCAGTGAGCCAAGATTGCAACACTGCACTCCAGCCTGGGTGACAGAGTGAGACGCGGTCTCAAAAACAAACAAAAAAAAACAGATTAGTCTATTCACTTGACGAAAATAACATGGATGTGAGGCCAGGCGTGGTGGCTCACGCCTGTAATCAGAGCACTTTAGGAGGCCAAGGTGGGTGGATCATGAGATCAGGAGATCGAGACCATCCTGGCCAACATGGTGAAACCCCATCTCTACTAAAATGTAAAAAAAATTAGCTGGGCATGGAGGCACGCGCCTGTAGTCCCAGCTACTCAAGAGGCTGAGGTAGGGAAATTGCTTGAACCCGGGAGGCAGAGGTTGCAGTGAGCCGACATAGGGCCACTGCACTCCAGCCTGGCGACAGACAGAGACTCTGTCTCAAAACAAAAAAACAGAAAAGAAAACCACATGGATCTGAATAGTGGGATGGCCTAAAACATTTCTATTTTGTATTTCAAGCAGAAGATGGCATCACTAACAGAATAGCAGGTACTATATTCCAGAACTGGTGAACAAGGGCTTCTGGTGAAGAAAAAGTTGAATGAGCACCACTGCCAGGAGACGATCTTTTTTTTTTTTTTTTTTTTTTGAGACAGGGTCTCTTTTTGTTGCACAGGCTGTAGTGAAATGGCGCGATGATGGCTCACTGCAGCCTCAAACGATTCTCTCACCTCAGTCCCCTGTGTAGCTGAGACTACAGGCAATACGCCACCATACCTAGCTAATTTTTAAATTTTTTTTGTAGTGACAGGGTCTTGTCATCCTGCCCAGGCTGGTCTTGAACTCCTGGGCTCAAGCAATCCTCCCATCTCAGTCTCCCTAACTGCTGGGATTACAAGTGTGAGCCACCACACCCAGCGAGCAGGTGATCATTTCTTAAGCCAATGGTTCTCAAACTTGAACCAGAGCCAGAATCCCCTGAAGAGCTTGTTAAATGCAGACGGTTAAGCTCTACTCCCCAAGTTTCTCCTTTAATACCACTGAGAAGAGGCCTGAGATTTGTATTTCTAACAAGTTACCAGATGATGCTAATGCTAGTTCAGGGAGCACACTTTGAGAACCACTGTCTAAACCACTCTTAAACCATAACTTTCAGGTGAGACCCCACTCTATAACCTCCAAAAGTCCTTCAACATGATCCGATCACTTTAAAAATGCATACTTAGATACTACCAAAATATAGCTTTTGGTCTTAGGAATGTGGCCTAGAAAACAGACCAGCATTTATAACTTAGGGGTTCAAGACCCTCAGGGTAACAGGTGCATATGATAAACCCATTTATAACCATCCCACAATGAGATTTAGGAGTAGGTCTGAATGCACCCAATGTGACTCTAACTTGAGGTCCTAAAATATTCTTCGAAGCACAATGAACATCATCTGAACCCCAAAGAATAACTATGCATCTGAGTTACTTGACACCACCAACACCATTTATCAAGTTCTCTAAGGAAGACCAAAGCCTTGATACTTAAAGTATAGTCAGTGGACCAGCAGCATGTGCACCACTTGGGAGTGGGTTAAAAAGTAGAATCTTCAGGACCACCCCTGCTTACCACTCAGAATTCCTTTCCCAAGGCCTAAAGGTGATCCCCCAGGCATATTAACATTTGCGAAACAAGCTAACTAAAGGATGTCTTCACACAAAAGGAAACTCTGGTACATTACTCTGAAAAGCACCTGACCAAAACATTTATACTTCTTCTACTCATGGGGGAAAAACAAAAACTCTTCGAATTCTGAACAACAAACTACTAACATTATCCCAGAAAGCAACTGAACACTAAACTAAGAAGGGTCAATGGTTAAGGGGCCCTCTCATCTGGCCAACGTGTTTTTTTGACCCTGTAAGTAAACATACACAGCTACAAGTTTCCACAGAATACACCACCTATTTAAAAAAAAAAAAAAATCACCGGCCGGCTCACACCTGTAATCCCAGCAGTTTGGGAAGCCAAGGTGGGCGGATCACCTGAGGTCGGGAGTTTGACACCAGCCTGACCAACATGGAGAAACCCTGTCACTACTAAAAAGACAAAAATTAGCCGGGCGTGGTGGCGCATGCTTGTAATCCCAGCTACTCAGGAAGGTGAAGCAGGAGAATAGGTTGAACCTGGGGCGGAGGTTGCGGTGAGCGGAGATGGCGCCATTGCACTCCAGCCTGGGCAACAAGAGTGAAACTCCACCTCAAAATCACCAGTGAAAACAGTTTCCCTCTACTGCTTCTAGATCTTCTAGCCCGTGAACTTGAAGTGGCAGAAACATCATTAAAGTCTATTTATTCCAGTACTTTGATCTCAGTACATAGACAAGGAAGAAGGATGGTTTGAATATTATTCCAGTTGTGGAACTAACATATTTATTATAGTGCTAGGAACACATAATCATTTCAAGCTCTCTTTAAAGGGAGAAGACTTCTTTATCCCCAAGTCCCGCATAGAATTACTAGAGTGTTGAAAACCATGAAAGCACTACCCTAACACTGCCTAAACACTATCCTAAAATTGTCATTAACTAAATCCTCTTAAGAGTAGAAAGTAAACCTATTTCCAATTAATTTGGTAGAAAAGACTTAAATCTAAGCTCCACTGTCATTAAGCTAAAAAATGCTTTTAACCAGTTCTTCAAGGCACATTTATCTACGTATGACAGAATTCTGAGGCTGGACTGTCAAAAATGGACAATACTGAGGTTCTTAATCTTTACTGCAAAGAAACATAAGTCCTACCCTAAGAAAGAGAAATATCTCCCTAAAAATGATGTAAGCATAAAGATAGAAACATACACAAAGATGAAATATACATGTTAACCTCTGATCGGTGTGTGAAAGTGATTCAAAAGCCTCTCTGCCTGGACTCTACCAGTAGACTACTGGTTAGAACTTTAGTGAAAAAAATACTGGAAAGGGTGGGTGTGGTGGCTCACACCTATAATCCCAGCACTTTGGAAGGCTGAGGTGGGTGGATCACCTGAGGTCAGGAGTTCAAGACAGGACTGACCAACATACAAAATTAGCCAGGCATGGTGGTGCATGCCTGTAATCCCACCTACTCAGGAGGCTGAGGCAGGAGAATTGCTTGAACCCGGGAAGCGGAGGTTGCAGTGAGCCAAGATCGTGCCATTGCACTCCAGCCTGAGCAGCAGGAGTGAAACTCCATCTCAAAAAAATAAAAATAAAAGTACTGGAAGGGGCCAGGCTCGGTGGCTCACACCTATAATCCCAGCACTTTGGGAGGCCTAGGTGGGTGGATCACCTGAGCTCAGGAGTTCAACACCAGCAACACAGTGAAACCGTCTCTACTAAAAATACAAAAAAAAATAGGCCAGGTGCAGTGGCTCACACCTATAATTCCAGCATTTTGGGGGGCCGAGGCGGGTGGATCACCTGAGGTCAGGAGTTCGAGACCAGCGAGGTCAGGAGTTTGAGACCAGCCTGGCCAACATGGCAAAACCCTGTCTCTACTAAAAATACAAAAATGAGCTGGGCGTGGTGGCACATGCCTGTAATCCCAGCTACTTGGGAGGCTGAGGCAGCAGAATCACTTGAACCCCGGAGGCGGAGACTGCAGTGAGCCGAGATAGCATCATTGCACTCCAGCCTCGGCGACAAGAGCGAAACTCCGTCTCAAAAAAAAAAAAATAAAAATAAAAATAAAAATACAAAAACAAAATTAGCTGGGTGTGGCAGCGTGCACCTGTAGTCCCAGCTACTTGGGAGGCTGAGGCAGGAGAATCGCTTGAACCAGGGAGGCAGAGGTTGCAGTGAGCCGAGATTGCACCACTACACTCCAGCCTGGGCGACACAGTGAGACTCCGGCTCAAAAAAAATAATAAACAAAAAGTACTGGAAGGGGGCCAGGTGCAGTGGCTCACACGTGTAATCCCAGCACTTTGGGAGGCTGAGGCAGGTGAATCACTTGAGTTCAGGATTTCAAGACCAGCCTGGCCAACATGGCAAGATCCCGTCTCCACTAAAACTACAAAAATTAGCTGGGCATGGTGGCGCACGCCTGTAGTCCCAGCTACTTGGGAGGCTGATGCAGGATAATCACTTGAACCCAGGAGGCAGAGGCTAGTGAATCAAGATCGCACCATTGCACTCTGGTGATAGAGCGAGACTCCGTCTCAAAGAAACAAAAAAATAAGTACTGGAACGGCTGGGCGCAGTGGCTCACGCCTGTGATCCCAGCACTTTGGGAGGCCAAGGCGGGCAGATCACCTGAGGTTGGGAGTTCGAGACTAGCCTGACCAACATGGAGAAACCCCGTCTCTACTATAAAAAAAAAAAAAAAATCAGCTGGGCATGTTGACGCGTGCCTGTAATCCCAGCTACTCAGGAGGCTGAGGCAGGAGAATCACTTGAACTTAGGAGGCAGAGGTGGTGCCATTGCACTCCAGCCTGGGCAACAAGAGTAAAACTCCATCTCAAAAAAAAAAAAGTACTGGAAGATTTTCTTTTCCCTTCATTTGATGGCTTTTCTCCATTCAGAATTCACCTGTCAGCATTTTAGGAAATGAATTTAAGTTGTGAAACACTACTCAAACACTCTCAGGTTTGAGAGAAAATATATTTGGGAAGACCAAATCTGAATGTGGAAAAAGTTTTCTATCAACTTACATGCTGTCATACCAAAACAGATCATCCTAAGAGAGCAATCAACCAAGAACACTTTACACCTGAAAACATTTCTCTTACTGCAGTTCAGTTTCCTTCAGTGCTGAAAATGAGTATTAATCTGACAGTATTTGATACTTTATCAAGTAGGTAAGAGTAGTGCACCAGAACACAAACAAGAGCTGGCTTTAAAGCATTAACCAATCAGTATCCCAGGAAGCCAGGGACAATAAGCCATGTCAGAGTCAATGACTGAGGCCTGGCACAGTGGCTCACCCCTGTAATCCCAACACTTTGGGAGGCCAAGGTGGGCGGATTGCTTAAGCCCAGGAGTTTGCCTGGGCAACATGGCGAATTCCCATCTCTATAAAAAATACAAAAATTAGCCGAGCGTACTGGTGCACGCCTGTGGTCCCAGCTACTCAGGAGACTGAGATGGGAGGATGGCTTGAGCCCGGGAGGTCCAGGCTGCAGTGAGCCATGATTGCACCACTGCATTCCAGCCTCGGCGACAAAGTGACGCCCTGTCGGGTGCAAAAAAAAAAAAAAAAAAAAGAAAAATCCATACTAAGGAAATATATGGATGTGTGCCCAACTAGGATATAACCCTTCTTGTCATCAGTGGTCCCAACTGCTTCAACACTGTTGAGCAAGTTTTATGGGATCCAGCCTGACACATTTCAGGGACCCAGAAATGAATTTACAATTTGAGTCCTGTCAACCTCTTCAAAAACATTCAGTAGCCAACAAGACATGTACTGATGCAAGATCTTTAATAAATATGACTTCCTCTCTCTCCCAAAAGCAGTTATCTGGACAAGCAGTTTAAGCATCTCCAGTTTTTAGCTAGGGGAAATATGACTGAAGCCTTACTTTTTTGAGTCCATATCCAATTTGTAATAGAAAATAAAAAAACAGGATTGAAAAGCCAGTTACCCATGAAAAGCACACTCAAGAGCATTCCTATGGGGAGTCTGCCTCTTAAGGAAACATCAATACAGAGGACACTAACTTTGTAACGCATCCTAGGGCTTTAATCCTCACAGTACAGTATGTAAATCAATAAACGTACCAATTACATAGCTGTTACAGAACTTACAAAGTATACTGATCCGCAATTTTAAAAAAATCTAAGCCTACATTCCCTTCACCTAAAAGCCTCTCAAAGCAAATTCCAGCTTAAACGCTGGGTATCTACACTTGCAGAAAAATGTTCAAAGTAATGCACTACTAAATTTAGTTAATATTTAGTCCATGTAGTGAGTCAGAATGAGATTACCACTTAATAGGAATGAAATAGTTATACAATGTTACTAACTTCGCCACCTAAAAAGAAACACTATTTCATTAGTGGCAAACCTTACTTTTGTATAGCGATGGGGGCATTTGGAGGCAGGAGGCTTCTTCAGGTCAAGGAAAGCATCTCCACTTTCTGTTTCACCCATACTTCTCCTATCCATGGCTCCTTGGTCTACAATGCTCTGCACCTGGAAGATAAATCGGCACAAAATTGTCACCGAGAACAGTAAGTTTTCAGAAATCTTGGCTGTTTCTTCAGAAGCTGAAACTTTTTAATCTCTCAAAACAGCTAGTGTTAAAAACAAGTCCCCACCCCAAAATTATGCTATAAATTAGAACTTGGAGATAGAATCATTGGTACTCAGTTCTCTTTCCTAGTATCCTAAGCATCAACATGGTAAAAAGTAGAAGGTGCCCAATTCAAGGTATATAACCTTTAAGCAGCTTTAACACAAGAGAAACCAAGATTAGTAGCTGCCACCCATGGGGATCTTTCAAGACTGGTGGGGAAGTTTCCCGGAGTGGGGGCAGGTAGAAGACTGGTTAGGCTGGGAACCCGCGAAGTCTGTTGGAAAGTGCCTGTCACTTGCCAATGGACGGCGCCAGCTGCCCCTTGTTATCCGGCGATCAGGGACTGGGGACGGGGCCCGAGCGCCCCTCGCCAGGCCAGCCGCACCTGTGGCCATGTCAGGGGCGCCGATGGCAAGGAAAGGGCGAGCACCGGCTTCAGCTCCGAAACTTGGCTTCCCCGGGCCGCGACCCCAACCCGCAGCCCCTCACGCAGGCCCGGGCCCAGCGGCCTCCTTCGGAGGAAGGGCGGAGACCGTACTCACTGAGGGGCGGCCGGCCGCAGGGAGGAGGGAGGCCGAATCTCCCGGCCCGGGCGCTTCAAGCTGGAGCTAGCGCAGGCCCGCAGCCGTCCTCCCCGGCCCGGCGGCTCGGTCCCCGCCAGCCAGCCCGCCGGCTACCCGCCGGCCGCCTTGCGGGCCTCGCGCCCCTGCCCACCCCCTGCGGGCGCCCCGGCGCCCGCGCTCACGCACGCGACCCCGGGAGCAATGCGCCCGCGCCCCTTCTACACCCGGGAGCACCGGGCGCGCGGTGCCCCGGACCCAGCCGCCACCGCCGCCGACCCTTACTCGGTGCCTCCGCCGCTCGGCGGCCCTTTGCCTCGGCCGCCGCTCCCCTCCCCGCTGCCCGCACCGGTCCCAGCGCCGCTCCCCGCAGCCTTCGCTCTCGCGCCCCCACCCCGACCGGCTTGGGCTGTCTCTCTTCAGCCGCCGTAACTGCAGCCCGGCCCTCCGCCCCTCCTCTTCGGCCCCCTCCCCCTTAATAACTCCCTCCACGCACCCTGGCCCCGGCGCCGCCTTCCCCGCCGCGCGCCCGGATGTGAGGTGGCTGCAGCGGTGCCGGGCGAAAAAGAAGCATCGCCGCGCGCTTCCCGGACGCCAGCCCCTGCGCGGGCCGGGGGGTGGGAAGGTGGTGGCGGCGAGGAGGAGGCCACGGTGGGGATAGCGGAAACCCGCTCCCGTGCGCGCAGGCGGTCGCCGTGGGCAGCCCAGAGGCCACCGCCGCCGCGTTCCCACGCGCGCTGCAGGGCAGAGCGGACGGCACTTGGGACCCGCGACTCGCGGCACGCCACTCTCCCGGAGGCGGTGGCTAGATGGGGCTGGGCTGGCGGCTAGCACGGCCTGTGGCGCGACGACCGCTGTATTTGCATGGTTCGCATAGGCAGAGAACCGTGGGGCTTCGGCAGTGGGAATTTGAGATAGGAGATTGGGGTCTTCCGAGCCTTCCCAGTGCGGGTTCGAACCTCAGCTGTTTTGCGAGTGGCGTGATCTTAGGCAAAGCTGACTTAACCTAAGTTTCGGTCGTGTTTCTAAAATGGCCTCTGTAAATCTATGAGGCTTATGCGCGAGTACTGGTTGCTGCATTAAAAGACAAACTTGTCACGATTGGCTTTGATAGCGATAAAGGCGACTAACAAATTCATTGAAATGTTGTTTCCCTCCGGTAACCTGAATCTGTCCTTAGCCTGCACAGAAAGGGGAAGTGCGAGTGGAGTTGGGGAAATGAGACGGCGAATGTCAAGTGCTTACCACGTAGTGCAGACTCAGGCTGACAGGGGGCCACAGAAATGCAAATATGTGAGCAGTGTGGGTAACTGCATCCTGGGGAGGAAGTCCTATGTGCTGGAATACCACAAGCACCCATTTCTGCCCTGTGGTACTGCGCAGCGTTGGTGTGAAGCGATACATAGGCGTGAAGTCCCGAGAACGCAATTTTCCTGGTTAAAGGACAGCAACGTCTACATTTCTTCCAAGAGGCCTACTTTGTTGGAACTTCACTTCACTTGTGAAATTAGGGTGTTGGGCAGTGAGTGACCACTAACTCAGCTCCCTTCTTGTGAATCTTGGCAACAGAAAACTTTTCGTTTGTATTACTGAATAAAGTGTGTTTCTTACAAACTGTTTTTTTACAGGCAAGAGGCAGAGGGAAACACTTGCACATCAGGCCTGAGTTTGCATTCTCATCTCTGCCACCTCCTACAAGCTATGGAGAGTTAGTCTATTGATTCTTAGTTTTACCTGTGAAATTGCGAAGATGATATAACCTGCTCATGGGGCAGTTAAGATTAAACAGGATAAGGTGGGTAAAAAACCATATATAACCCATAAAGCTGCTGAGCCTTTTTAAGCCTATACAGAGACACGTTGCAGGTGATAATACAGATGTTATTATTTTAACAATCAAGCTGTTTTTGGAATCCAAATTCTTCCTAAAGCTGTGGGAAACAGGTCTAATCCCCTTTAGTGTCTTGGAGACTCCCTGGAGTAGTGGAGAAGGCCCGTTCTTTGAAGCTGCTAAATCCTGACCCTGCCAATTAGTGTGAAACCTGAGCCAGGCATTTCACCACCTGGATCTCCCTTTCCTCATTTTTCCGAAAGGGATCGCAGTATACCTACTTTTTAGGCTTGCAGAGGGAATTAAAGATAACATTAAAAACACTGCTCTGGTTATTTTATTTTGGGGGTGATGAAGTCTTGCTCTGTCATCCAGGCTGGAAAGCAATGGCACAATCATAGCTCACTGCTCCAGCCTCAGCCTCCCAAATAGCTGGGACTACAGGCTCCTGCCACTACAGCAGGCTAATTTTTAACGATTTTTTGCAGAGACGGGATCTTGCTATGTTGCTCAGGCTGGTCTCAAATTCCTGGCCTCAAGTGATCCTCCTGCCTCAGCCTCCAAAAGCACTGGGATTACAGGCATGAGCCACCACACCTGAGCTTTCTTGAAAAAGAAAATACTAGAAACCCGGAAATTATGGATTTCTGGTTACCTACTGTTACGTAACAAACCACCCCAGAATTCCAATTATATTTTGCTCTCAAATCTGCAAAATGGGCTGGTTCCTGCTGGGACGGCTGGTTTCTGATCCATTCAGCACCAGTGGGGGCAGCCCAAAGGCTGGGGCTGAGGGTCCCGTAAAAGCGTACATGTCTGGTGGTTGATGGTGGCTGTCAGCTAGGACCTGGGACCATTAGAGCTGTCCCTGGAACACTTACACATGGCCTCTCCCTGTGTCTGAGCTTCCTTGAAATATCAGGGCTGGATTCTAAGGGCAAGTGTTCAGAGAGCGAACAAGAAAGCCATATAGTTGCTGTATTGCCTTTCCTAACCTAGCCCTGGAATCAGTTCTACCACGTGCCACATTCTGTTCCTTAGAAAGGAGTCAGCACGGCTACCCTATATTCAAAGCAAAGGAACTTAGACTCCACCTCTATGTGGGAGGAATGTCAAGGAATGTGTAGGCATGTTTTAAACCACCACAAGCCATACATGATATCAGTGCCCAGGGCATTGTAGCTATCATGATTTGATAGCTGGAACTAATTTCCTGAGCCCTCTGGTCTATCCTACTTAGGACCTACTTTTCCACTAGGCTCCTTTAATGTCTTGTAGAACTTTGGCCTCAACTCATTTCTTACCTCTCAAAGTCTCACTCTGTCCTTATAGAAGAAGATGGTTATTACCTAGGAAAAAAGGTAATAATCTAAGGGAGGCTTCCCTAAACTTCTTTCACCTGTGCCTGGCAAAAGCTAGATGCTTACAAATTGCAAATTCTTGTTTCATTGTAGTTTTTGAGTGTTACTCTCCTTGGCAGGATAATTTTTATTTTTATTTTTTATTTTTTGAGAAGGAGTCTCGCTGTATCGCCCAGGCTGGAGTGCAATGGTGTGATCTTGGTTCACTGCAACCTCTGCCTCCCAGGTTCAAGTGATTCTCCTGCCTCAGCCTCCTGAGTAGCTGGGATTACAGGCGCATGCCACCACGCCCAGCTAATTTTTGTATTTTTAGTAGAGACAGGATTTCACCATGTTGGTCAGGCTGGTCTCAAACTCCTGACCTCATGATCCGCCCACCTCGGCCTCCCAAAGTGCTGGGATTACAGGCATGAGCTACCACGCCCGGCCTGATAATTTGTAATTTTTTTTTGAGACGGAGTCTCGCTCTGTCGTCCAGGCTGGAGTGCAGTAGCGTAATCTCGGCTCACTGCAAGCTCTGCCCCCTGGGTTCAGGCCATTCTGCCTCAGCCTCCCGAGTAGCTGGGACTACAGGCGCCCGCCACCACGCCCGGCTAAATTTTTTATTTTTAGTAGAGACAGGGTTTCACCACGTTAGCCAGGATGGTCTCGATCTCCTGACTTCATGATCCACCCGCCTTGGCCTCCCAAAGTGTTGTGATTACAGGTGTGAGCCACCGCGCCTGGCCTATAACTTGTAATTTTTTGAGACCAAGTTTTGCTCTGTCGCCCAGGCTAGAGTGCAGTGGCACAATCGGCTCACTCAACCTCTGCCTCCTGAGTTCAAGCAATTCTCATGCCTCAGCCTCCCAAGAAGCTGGGACTACAGGCCTGTGCCACCACACCTGGCTAACTTTTGTATTTTTAGTAGAGATGGGGTTTCACCATGTTGGCCAGGCTGGTCTGAACTCCTGACCTCACGTGATCCCCCAACCTTGGGTTCCGAAAGTGCTGGGTGTGAGCCATCGTGCCAGGCCAATAATTTGTAATTCTAAATGCCCCCTTCTGCAACTAATAACCAATTTTCAAGTATCAGCTTGGGAAAGCTCTTTGAGAGAGAAATTATTCTAGTTCTTTACTAAATATGTGTAAGATCTTGGTTTAGGTCTAAATTGTTGGCCCAAAGTTTGGCATAAGGGGTCTCAAAGGTTCAGTCAGTCGGGGAAATTAGCAGTCCAAGAACAGCAGAGAAGCAAATGAAAATACCAGAAACTGGCCGGACATGGTGGCTCATGCCTGTGATCCTAGCACTTTGGGAGGCTAAGGTGGGAGGATCACTTGAGATCAGGAATTCTAGACCAGCCTGGCCAACGTGACCAAACCCCGTCTCTACTAAAAATACAAAATTAGCTGGGCGTGGTAGCATATGCCTGTAATCCCAGCTACTTGGGTGGCTGAGCTAGGAAAATTGCTTGAACCTGAGAGGCGGAGGTTGCAGTGAGCCGAGATCGCGCCACTGCACTCCAGCCTGGGTGACAAAAGTGAAACTGTCTCAAAAAAAAAAAAAAAAGAAAAAAGAAAATACTAGAAACCCAGAAATTATGAGAGCACCTGTGAGAGAGTTTAATGCCAGGCCATGACCTTTCAGCAGCCTCATCACAGAAGGCTGGATTGCACCTCTCTAAATGGGCTTTTTCCTACTCAGTTTTTCTTGCTCCAAGAGTAACCCTTAGATTTTTTTTTTTTTCGAGACAGAGTCTCGCTCTGTCACCCAGGCTGGAGTGCAGTGGCAGGATCTTGGCTTACTGCAACCGCCCCCACCAGGTTCAAGCGATTCTCCTGCCCCAACCCCCCGAGTAGCCGGGATTACAGGCTCGTGACTCCACGCCTGGCTAATTTTTCTATTTTTAGTAGTAGAGATGGGGTTTCACCGTGTTGGCCAGGCTGGTCTCAAACTCCTGACCTCAAGTGATCACCCACCTTGGCCTCTCAAAGTGCTGGGATTATAGGCGTGAGCCACCGCGCCTGGTCAAATTTTTTATATTTTGTAGAGATGGGCACTATGTTGCCCAGGCTGTTCTTGAACTACTGGGCTCAGGCAATTCTCCTGGCTCAGCCTTCCAAAATGCTCAGATTACAGGTGTGAGCCACCGTGCCCAGCCTCTAAGATGTCCTTGTCCTAGCTATTATTATGTACTATTATCTTCTAATCTTTCCCAACAGGACTATTTTCATTGTAACTCAAATGGAAATGCCTTTCATCCCTCCTAAATTTGTCAAAGCTGAGGATGGTAAATGCACATAACAGGAAGAAAGCATTAGGAAATTAGCTCAAATCATCTAGAAAGAAGTGCTTATTGACTTATCCTAAATATATAATTTATATAAATTTACATAATTACATAAAAGTACTTAGGCTAAATTACAGTAAATATATTTTTGTTATACTGTTAATTACAACCTTGAAGCTTACTAAATTATTTTAAAACTACTTGGCCACATTAAGTTCAGATAAAAGTTGTCCCTAAAACATTAGCATTGATGTCCGCTAAAGTAGAACTCCCTTTAAATTATTATTATTATTATTATTGAGACAGTTTTGCTCTTGTTGCCCAGGCAAATGCAAATACACGATCTCGGCCCACTGCAACATTTGCCTCCTGGGTTCAAGCGATTCTCCTGCCTCAGCCTCCCCAGTAGCTGGGATTACAGGTGCCCACTACCACCCCCGGCTAATTTTTTAAATTTTATTTTTAGTAGAGACGAGGTTTCACCATATAAAACATAATTTAGGGCCAGGCGCGGTGGCTCATGCCTGTAATCACAGCACTTTGGGAGGCCGAGGCGGGCGGATCATCTGAGGTCAGGAGTTCGAGACACACCTGGCCAACATGGTAAAAACCGTCTCTATCAAAAAAACAAAAAAAAATTAGCCGGGCGTGGTGGCGTGCGCCTGGGAGGCTGAGGCAGGAGAAACACTTGAACCCGGGAGGTGGAGGTGGAAGTGAGCCCAGATCACGCCACTGCACTGCAGCCTGGGCTACAGAGGGAGACTCCTTCTCAAAAAATAAATAATAAATGTTTTAATTGCAAAAATTAGCATGTAGAAAATAGGGCAAAAATACAAATTGTCTGTGATGCTAAGCCCGAGACACCCAACAAGTTAATTTTCCTGTTTTTAGCGTAAAATCTTTCAAATAAATAACTACTGCTTTTAGTCTCTGCACCAGGAATCTCACGTGCTTTCAAATGTTTTACAAAGCACGTAAAAAAGTATTTGAAAAGTCCCACTTACCCCTCCCACTCCTATTTTTAAGATTATTAGGATCGGCCCAAATTTAAAAATTTAACAAAAAGAGTGCTTATTAATTACATTTTAAAATGAAGGGTTACAAAAAGAGATGAGCCTGGCATTTCTAATTCGGGGGCCTTGGGACCTCTCCCCTCCAAGTGCAAGTTGTAGCAACCTGCCGGGTCCACGCATGGGCGGGTCATACTCCACGGGTTCCGGTTTCCACTCCCTGTGAACCAAAAGCCAGAGAGGCCCACGCACGAGTCCGGAAGTGAGGGAGGGAGGACTTTCGTACGCAGCCGCCTCCCAGCTGGAACCTCATCTTTAGTGCTCGGCCGCGGGCGGCGTAACTCGGGGTTCCGCCTCGGAATACCTCCCACTTCTCTTGTCTAAGAGGAGCAGTAGCAAGCTGAGCTCAGAGCGAAGCTGGCGAGCCAAGGAGATAAAGAACCCTCGGTGGGGATGCCCAGAGGGTGCATGCTCCACGCCCCTCGAAACCGATTCTCATTGCTGCTGCTGCAAAGCAACCCGAAGTGCGCCACCTACCCGACTGAGGCTGCGCAAGCCCCGGGGTCTGGGCGGGGTGGTCCTCGTGCGCGCCGCGTCGCCGTGGAGACGAGGGCGGGCCCGCGCGAGACTGGCGTCTAGAGGCGCGCGAAGCGCTGAGGCGGGCGTGGACCGCGCGGGAGTTAAGAAGCAGGTCCCGGATCGCCGTATACCGCCGGGTTTTCTCCCAACGTCAGGCCCGATGGCTCGGCTTCCCCAGGTACGAGGCCCGGCCCTAACGTCCCCACCCTCTTCTGGGCTCGGCCTTTCCGGCAGTGAGCCCGGCAAGGACCTCAGTCGGGTTCCTCCGAGCCCGGTGAAATCTGTCCGAGCCTCCGCTTCCTCCCCTGAAAGTGCAGGTGATGTTGTCTACCTGCGGGTCTGTGGTGCGGGAATGGAGGAAGTGCGACAAGAGGGCGCAGGACGGGGCCCGGAGCCTGCCATCCTCTCCCGCCGCGTCTTCTCGGCTTCTTGTCTTCCGCCCTGGGGGCACCGCATCCTCCCAGGCGTCTAGTGCGCTCCTGGCCGGTGCTCGAGTCCACGCAATGCCCCTTAGCGTGCGCGGATCCAAATCAGGGGTTTCCTCCTCCCGGCTCCGTGGCCCAGGAGCGGAAGGGCTGGTATATGGGCGACCTTACTCCCACTGAGCCCGCAGGGAGTAACGCAGTAAACAAACCTGGAAGCCTTCCCCGCGTGGGAGGTGGGTACCTGTTTTTATGGGAGGCTGTTCAGGTTTCTTAACTGCTGTGTAGATGTGTTGTAAATATTTGTTGAATGAATGATGTGAGGGACTTGAGTACAGCCATACCTCGCTTTATTGCACTTCACAGATACCGTGTTTTTTACAAATTGAAAGTTTGTAGCAAGCAGCCCTGCACCGAGCAACTATTTTTTCAACAGCATGTGCCCACTTCCTGTCACTTACACTTTGGTAACTATCGCTATATTTCAAACTTTTTATTTCAGGTGCACCGTTACAGTGATCTGTGATCAGTGATCTTTGATGTTGTTATTGCAATTGTTTTAGGTGGCCACGAACCTCACTGGTATAAGACAGCAAACTTAAGTGTTGTGTCTGACTGCTCCACTACCTGCCAGTTCCCTGTTTCTCTCCTCCCTCTCGGTCCTCCTTGTAGCCTGAGAGGCAACAATATTGAAATTAGGCCAATTAATAGCCCCACAGTGGCCCCTAAGTGTTCAGTGAAAGGAAGAGTTCCATGTCTCTCACTTTATATCAAAAGCTAGAAATGACGAAGCTAGAAATGACGAAGCTAGAAATGCCTATGCTCTGTAAATGCAACAACAAACCCAGGATGACCACACATCTCTTTACTGAATGTCTTTACATCATATTTACAGTGTGGTTTACTGAATATTTTAAGCCTACTATCGAGACCTACTGTTCAGAAAAAAGGATTCCTTTCAAGATATTACTGGTCATTAACAAGGCACCTGGTCACCAAGGAACTCTGATGAAGATGTACAAAGAGATTAATGTTACTTTACATGTCTGCTAACACAGTATGCATTCTATAGCCCATGGTTCAAGGAGTAATTTTGACTTTCAAGTCATTATTTAAGAAATACATTTTGTGGGCTGGGCATGGTGGCTCATGCCTGTAATCCCAGCACTTTGGGAGGCCGAGGCGGGTGGATCACGAGGTCAGGAGTTTGAGACCAGCCTGGCCAACATAGTGAAACCCCGTCTCAACTAAAAAATACAAAATATTAGCCGGATGTGGTGGCGGGCACCCATAATCCCAGCTACTGGGGAGGCTGAGGCAGGAGAATCACTTGAACCCGGGAGGCGGAGCTTGCAGTGAGCCAAGATTGCGCCATTGCACTCCAGCCTGGGCGACAGAGTGATGAGACTCCATATCAAAAAAATATATATATATTTTGTGACCCCATAGCTGCCATAGGTAGTGATTCCTCTGATGGATCTGGGCAAAGTAAATTGAAAATGTTCTGGAAAGGATTTCTAGGTGCCATTAAGAACATTCATGATTTGTGGGAAGGGGTTAAAATATCAATTCCAGCCTGGCCAACTTGAAGAAACCCTGTGTCTACTAAAAATACAAAAATTAGCTGGGTGTGGTGGTGGGCGCCTGTAATCCCAGTTACTCAGGAGGCTGAGGCATGAGAATTGCTTGAACCCAGGAGGCAGAGGTTGCAGTGAGCCAAGACTGCACCACTGCACTCCAGCCTGGGCGACAGAGCAAGACTCCGTCTAAAAAAAAAAAAAATCATTAAAAGGAGTTTGAAAAAGTTGAGTCAGGCCGCCATGGATAACTGAGAGACTCAAGACCCGAGTGGAGGAAGTAACTGCAGATATGATAGAAAAATCAAGCAAACTGGAATTAGAAGGGGAGCCTAAAAATGTGACCAATTGCTGCAACCTCATGATAAAACTTGGATGGATGAGGAGTGGCTTCTTTTTTTCTTTTTTTTTTTTTTTGAGATGGAGTTTCACTCTTATTGCCCAGGCTGGAGTGCATGGCACACTCTTGACCTCCTGACCTCATGTGATCCACCTGCTTCGGCCTCCCAAAGTGCTGGGATTACAGACCTGAGCCACTACATGCCCGGCTTTGTTTTTACTTTTGTTTTCAGACAGGGTCTTGTTCTGTTGTCCAGGCTGGAGTGCAGTGGTGATCATGGCTCATTGCAGACTTGAACTTCTAGGCGAAAGTGATCCTCCTGCCTTAGCCTCCTGCCTCCTCAGTACCTGGGTGTGTAATACCATGCCTCGCTAATTTTTTTTTTGAGATGAGGGTCTTGTTAGTTGAGCAGGCTGGTCTTGAACTCCTGGTCTCAAGCAGTCCTCCTGCCTTGGCCTCCCAAAGTGCTCACCACAACCTCCGCCTCCCGGGTTCAAGTGATTCTTCTGCCTCAGCCTCCCGAGTAGCTGGGATTACAGGCATGTGTCACCACGCCTGGCTAATTTTTTGTATTTTTAGTAGAGACAGGGTTTCACTGTGTTAGCCAGGATGGTCTCCATCTCTCAGCCTCCCAAAGTGCTGGGATTACAGGTGTGAATCACCGTGCCTGGTGAAAGTGGTTTCTTGAGTTGAAATCTACACCTGGTGAAGATGCTGTGAACATTGTTGAAATGACAGCAAAGGATTTAGAGTATTACATAAACTTAGTTGACAAAGCAGTGGTAGGATTTAAGAGGATTGACTTCAATTTGAAAGATGTTCTACTGTGGGTAAAATGCTATTAAATAGCATTACATGCTATAGAGAAATCTTTGATGAAAGGAAGAGAGTCCATCGATGTGACACACATCACTATTGTCTTATTTTAAGAAATTGTCATAGCACTTTGGGAGGCTGAGGCGGGCGGATTACCTGAGGTCAGGAGTTCGAGACCAGTCTGGCCAACATGGTGAAACCCCGTCTCTACTAAAAATACAAATATTACCAGGCACGGTGGTATGCGCCTGTAGTCCCAGCTACTCCAGAGGCTGAGGCAGGAGAATCGCTTGAACCCAGGAGGCGGAGGTTGCAGTGAGCATTGCAACCACTGTGCTCCAGCCTGGGCGACAGAGTGAGACTCCATCTTAAAAAAAAAAAAAAAAAAACATTGAAAATGCCACAGTTGCCGGATGCAGTATAATCCTGCATTACAGGCTCATGCCTGTAATCCTAGCACTTTGGGTGGCTGAGGTGGGCGATCACTTGAGGTCAGTAGTTCAAGACCAGCCTGGCCAACATGGTGAAACCCTGACTCTACTAAGAATATAAAAGCCAGTTGTGGTGGCGGGCACCTGTAATCCCCACTATTTGGGAGGCTGAGGCAGGAGAATCGCTTGAACCCGGGAGCTGAGATCGCACCACAGAGTGAGACTCTGTCTCAAAAAAAAAAAAAAAAAAAGAAAAAATAAATTGCCATAGCCATTCCAACCTTCAGCAATCACTACCCTGATCAGTCAGCAGCTATTAACATGGAGGCAAGACCCTCTACTGGCAAAAATATTACAACTCACTGAAGAATCAGATAATTGTTAGCATTTTTTAGCAATAAGGTGTTTTTATTTATTTTTATTTTTATTTTTGAGACAGTTTCATCTCATCACCCACGGTGGAATGCATTGGCATGATCTTGGCTCACTGCAACCTCTGCCTCCTGGGTTCAAGCGATTCTCCTGCCTCAGCCTCCTGAGTAGCTGGAATTACAGGCACCTGCCACTACACCCAGCTAATTTTGTGTTTTTAGTAGAGACAGGGTTTTGCCATGTTGGCCAGGCTGGTCTCAAATTCCTGATCTCAGGTGATTCTCCCGCCTGGGCCTCCCAAAGTGCTGGGATTACAGGCGTGAGCCATTGTGCCTGCCCAATAAAGTGGTGTTTTTGTGTGTGTGTGTTTGTTTTGTTTTTGTTTTTTGTTTTTTTTTTTGAGTCTGAGTGTTGCTCTGTCACCCAGGCTGGAATGCAATGGCGTGATCTCGGCTTGCTACAACCTCCGTCTCCCAGGTTCAAGCAATTCTCCTGCCTCAGCCTCCTGAGTAGCTGGGATTACAGGTGCCCACCACCACCACCAGCTAATTTTTGTATTTTTAGTAGAACGGGGTTTCACCATATTGGCCAGGCTGGTCTCGAACTCCTGACCCCGTGACCCACCCACCTTGGCCTCCCAAAGTGCTGAGATTACAGGTGTGAGCCACTGTGCCCGGCCAAATATTTTTAAATTAAGGTATGTACATTAGTTTTTTAGACAATGCTATTGCACACTTAACTACAAGTGTAGACATAACTTTTTTTTTTTTTTGAGACGGAGTGTAGCTCTGTTGCCCAGGCTGGAGTGCAGTGGCGTGATCTTGGCTCACTGCAAGTTCTGCCTCCTGGGTTCACGCCATTCTCCTCCCTCAGCCTCCCGAGTAGCTGGGACTACAGGCGCCCGCCACCACGCCCGGCTAATTTTTTGTATTTTTAGTAGAGACGGGGTTTCACTGTGCTAGCCAGGATGGTCTCGATCTCCTGACCTCATGACCGCCCATCTCGGCCTCCCAAAGTGCTGGGATTACAGGCGTGAGTCACCGTGCCCAGCTGACATAACTTTTATATGAACTGGGAAATCAAAAAATTCATGTGACTGGCTTTATTTATGTGGTCTGCAGCTGAACTCTCAGTATCTCTGAGGTCTGCCTGTACTAGTCCCAGTTCCGCCACTTGTTAGCTGGGAACCTTGAGCCCTCCAGCTGTAAAATGAAGTTGATAACCACTTGCTGAGGTAGTTATATTAAAGTAGGTAGTTCATGAAAAGTGCTTAGCACTAATGCGTAGCAGAGTACCTTATCTATAGATGTTATTTTGATTATAGTCTATACATTTTTGATTGTGTGGTACTCTCAACATTTTGTTAAAACATAACATTGATAAGAAAAAATTGATTCTGGATGGGTCCACTGTCTGTCTGTAGTTGGCACATTCCTCATGCCTATGTGGGTTTTTGCCGGATGCTCTGATTTCCTCCCATGTCCCCACGATAAGCACATTAGCTTCATTGACATGTCTAAATGATCCTAGTGTCAGTGAGTGTGTGTGTGAGTGTGCAATGCCATGAATGGCTTCCTGTCCAGGGTGGCATCCCCCCTTGTGCCCTGAGCTGCCAGGATACACTCTAGCCAACCTTGACCCTGAACTGGAATAAGTGGGTAAATAATTATCTTACTTGTTCTTATGAATCTTCTGTACATATATGTATAGCTCACATTTATTTCAGTGTTTAATATTAAAAGGGTTTGGATCTTTATTTAGAAGTTTGGTGATGTTTTCTGACCAGAAATATGTTACAGGAACTTAAATCTTGTTTGTATCAACTACCTTTTATGGTAAAATTGGTCTCCTTATACATCATTTTGCTTAAAGTTGCCGTTTCCAAGAACCTATCAATGACATTAAGTGAGGACTTACTGTACTTAGTTCTAGATGAGGCTGGATGATATTCAGGTTCAATTTTTTTTTTTTTTTGAGATGGAGTTTCACGCTTGTCACCCAGGCTGGAGTGTAATGGCGTGATCTCGGCTCCTGCAGCCTCCACCTCCTGGGTTCAAGCGATTCTCCTGCCTCAGCCTCCCAAGTAGCTGGGATTACAGGCACCTGCCACCATGCCCGGCTAATTTTTGTATTTTTATTAGAGACGGGGTTTCACCATGTTGTCCAGGCTGGTCTTGAACTCCTGACCTTAGGTGATCCACCTGCCTCGGCCTCCTGAAGTCGTGGGATTACAGGCGTGAGCCACTGCGCCCGGCCAGGTTCAATTTTTTAGCAAGATTTCATCATGGGTGGTAGCACTTCATCAGTGCTTTGTTGGGTTTATTTTGGTCTCTTTTTTATTTGTTGGAGGTCTTTTCTAAATGTTTTATGATTCTCAATTGTCTGTTTATACTTAAGTGTAACTGAGAGATTATGGCCGAGCGTGGTGGGTCCCACCTGTAATCCCAGCACTTTGGGAGGCTGAGGCGGGCAGATCACTTGAGGTCAGGAATTCAAGACCAGTCTAGCTTAGCCAGGTGTGATGGTACTCAGGAGGCTGAGACAGAAGAATCGCTTGAACCCAGGAGGCAGAGTTTGCAGTGAGCCGAGATTGAGCCACTGCACTGCAGCCTGGGCAACAAAGCGAGACTCTGTCTCAAAAAAAAAAAAAAAAAAAGGTGTAACTGAGAAATTAGTTGGAAGCTCCTTGTGTCTGAGCAGGACTTGTGAGTTCAGGGGCTTCACTTTAGGGTAATCTAGGGACAAGTCTGCTTTTTCATTGATGGAGAGTAAGGCACAGGTCTCAGAATCTGGAGATGTGTTAGTTTTTATTGTTTTCTGAGAAGACTTTTCCAGTCTCCTGCCTGAGAGGTACCATCTAGCTACCAGAATTTTGGAAGCGGGACAGCAGAAGTGGCGTGAATACCCTGTCTGACAGGGTTGGAATTCTGTGTGGTCCACTTTCCTTTGGTATCCACTCTGAAGTTTTTCATTTCCTCAAACCTGTTAGGCCACTTCATTTTCCTTTCTTGTAAAACCTGTGGAAATCCCTCATGTCCTATAATCGCTTCTGTCATCTCTTTAACCTTATGGTTCGTTCCTTTGTATTCTTTGCTGCCACCTTAGAAGGTCAATCTACATGTTTAACTGGGAGTCAACACCTAATAATTTTTGTTTTTCTTGGACTGTTTTTTTTTTTTTTTTTTTTGAGATGGAGTTTCGCTCTTGTTGCCCAGGCTGGAGTACAGTGGTGCGATCTTGGCTCACTGCAACCTCCGCCTCCTAGGTACAAGTGATTCTCTTGTTTCAGCCTCCCAAGTAGCTCGGATTACAGGCATTCGCCACCATGCCAATTTTTTTTTTTTTTTTTTAAGTAGAGACAGGGTTTCACCACGTTAGTCAGGCTGGTGGCGACCTCCTGACCTCAGGTGATCCACCTGCTTCGGCCTCCCAAAGTTCTAGGATTACAGGCATGCGCCACTGTCCTCGGCCATGTTTTGTATTTGATTATCATTATATTCATTATATTCCAACTTATAAGCAAGTTTATATTCATACATGTCCTTATTGAAAGCAAACCTGTGTCCTAGTTTTTCCAGTATATGTGTATTTTATCTGTGAGGTTACAGACGTTGTTTTAGAGGCTGGAGATAGAATGGAGAGAAGATCAGATGTGATTCCTGTTTCCATGGAATTTATATTTTAGTGGGGAAGGCAGACATGTACAAATAGGTAGAATGCTGGTATAGAGTATATAACAGAAGGGAGTCCTTGACCATGAAGGACATTCCACAGGATCATTATGACAGAAACCCAAGGCGGTGACACATTGATTATAGCAGTATTTCACGAAAAATCACTATTTGAATACTCCATTTGATTTATTTATAGAAATAATCACTTATGATGACCTCTGTTACTTGGAGTGTAGTATCAGAAAAACTAGGACATCGGTTTGATGTAAGTAAGGATTATTCGTTTTGTATGGATAAACTGGCTAATTCCTTGTCTGATTGTCATTGAAATATGTGACCTTGATTATAAGGGTGACTTCATTCTTTTAGAATGAAACAACTTGTAAATGCATCACCGTTACTCAACACAGGATGTGTTCACCCTGTTAGCTTGCCTCCACCATTTACTTAAATCTTACTCTTCTGTCTTACTACTTGTATTAGTTTCCTAGGGCTGCTGTAACAAAGTACCACAAACCGGGTGGCTTAAAACTAATAGAAGTTTATTCTTTCACAGTTTTAGAGGCTAGAAGTCTGAAATCAAGGTGTCATCCTCTCCCTGAAGGCTCAGGGGAGAATCTGTTCCATGCCTTTCTCTTAGCTTCTGATGTTGCCAGCAATCTTTGGCAATTCTTGTAGATACATCACTCTAGTCTCTGCCTCTGTCATCACATTGCATTCTCCTCTTTATGTGTATCTGTCCCTGTATCTCTTCTCTTTTAAGAAAGACACAAATCGTGTTGGATTATGGGCCCACCCTACTCCCATGTGACCTCATCTTAACTTACATCTTAATTACTTCTGCAAAGACCCTGTTTTCAGATAATGTCACATTCGCAGGTAGCAGGGGTGAGGATTTCAGCAAATCTTTTTTGGGGAACACAATTCAACCCACAACACTGCTATTCCTGGCACTAAAAGAAAAATAGTAATAATAATAATAATTTAAAAAACTATGCCATAATTTATTCAGTTCCTAATGAATATTTTTGATACAAATTATCACCAATTGAAAATGAAAAATGGGCTCAGGCACAGTGGCTCACGCCTATAATCCCAGCACTTTGGGAGGCCGAGGTGGGCAGATCATTTAAGGTCAGGAGTTTAAGACCAGCCTGGCCAACATGGGGAAACCCCATCTCTACTAAAAATACAAAAAGTAGCCAGTTGTGGTGGTGCATTCCTGTAATCCCAGCTACATGGGAGGCTGAAGCAGGAGAATCGGTTGAACCCGGGAAGTGGAGGTTGCAGTGAGCCTAGATTGCACCACTGCATTCCAGCCTGGGCAACAGAGCGAGACTGTCTCGGAAAAAAAGAAAAAGAAAAAGAAAAAATGAAAACTAGGCAAGGTGCAGTGGTGCCTGTCTGTAGTCCCAGCTACTTGGGAGGCCGAGACAGGAGAATTGCTTGAGGCCAGGAGTTTGAGATTACAGTCAGCTATGAGAACACCACTGCACTCCAGCCTGAGTGACAGAGTGAGACCCTATCTCTACACACAAAAAAAGGCACTTTGGGAGGCTAAGGTGGATAGATCAGTTGAGCTCAGGAGTTTGAGACCAGCCTGAGCAATATAGCAAGACCCTGTCTCTACAAATAATAAAAAATAAGCTGAGCATGGTGGCACATACCTGTGGTCCCAGCTACTTGGGAGGCTATGGTGAGAGGACTGCTTGAGCATGGGAGGTTGAGGCTGCAGTGAGCCGTGATGGTGCCGCAGTACTTCAGCCTGGATAATAACATGAGACCCTGGGTGACAGCGTGAGAAAGAAAAAAGGCCAGGCATGGTGGCTCATGCCTGTAATCGTAACACTTTGGGAGGCTGAGGTGGGAGGATCACCTGAGCCTGAGGAGGTCGAGGCTGCAGTGAGCTGCGATTGCACTGCTGCATTCCAGCCTGGGTGACAGAGGGAAATCCTGTCTTTTTTTTTTTTTTTTCTGAGACAGAGTCTTGCTCTGTTGCCCAGGCTGCAGTGCAGTGGTGTGATCTCGGTTCACTGCAACCTGCCTCACGGGTTCAAGTGATTCTTCTGCCTCAGCCTCCTGAGTAGCTGGGATTGCAGGTGCCCACCACCATGCCTGGCTCATTTTTGTACTTTTAGTAGAGATGGAGTTTTCCCATGTTGGGCAGGCTGGTCTTGAACTCCTGACTTCAGGTGATCTGCCCGACTCAGCCTCCCAAAGGGCTGGGATTACAGGCGTGAGCCACTGTGCCTGGCCAGAAATTCTGTCTTTAAAAAAAAGAAAAGAAAGAAAATGAAAACTACACACAGTAACACTGATAACCATAAAAATTAATCTGAGGAAAAATAAGAAATCTTGGCCTCTACTGGTGTTTTTGTGAAGGGAAGTTGAAGGTGCTGAAGCATCTAGACATGAAGAAAGAACCAGGCACAACTTCTGAGTGTGGCTCGCTCTCCTCTCAGTTTCCTTCATTAGAAAATAACATTTTGCAGATGACATGATTCTGTATCTAGAAAACCCCATCGTCTCAGCCCAAAAGCTTCTTAAGCTGATAACCAACCTCAGCAAAGCCTCAGGATACAGATCAATGTGCAAAAATTGCAGACATTCCTGTACACCAACAACAGGCAAGCAGAGAACCAAATCATGAATGAATTCCTATTCACAGTTGCCACAAAAATAATAAAATACCTAGGAATACAGCTAACAAGGGAAGTGAAAGACCTCTTCAAGTAGAGCTACAAACCACTGCTCAAAGAAATCAGAGGTGACACAAACAAATGGAAAAACATTCCATGCTCATGTATAGGAAAAATCAATATCATGAAAATGGCCATACTGCCCAAAGCAATTTACAGATTCAATGCTGTTACCATTAACTACCATTGACATTCTTCACAGAATTAGAAAAAACTACTTTAAAATTCATATGGAACAAAAAAGCATGAATAGCCAGGACAATCCTAAGCAAAAAGAACAAAGCTGCAGGCATCATGCTACCCAACTTCAAACTATACTGCGAGGTTACAGTAACAAAAACAGAATGGTACTGGCACAAAAACAGAAACATAGACTAATGGAACAGAATAGAGAACCCAGAAATAAGACTGCACACCTACAACCATCTGATCTTTGACAAATGTGACCAAAACCAGCAATGGGGAAAGGAGTCCCTATTTAATAACAGGTGCTGGGAGAACTGGCTAGCCATATTCAAATATTGAAGCTGGACCCCTTCTTTACACCATATATAAAAACTAACTCAAGATGGGTTAAAGACTTAAATTTAAAACCCAAAACTATAAAAACCCTGGAAGAAAATCTAGGCAATACCATTCAAGACATAGGCACAGGCAAAGATTTCATGATGAAGATGCCAGAAGCAATTGCAACAGAATCACAAATTGACAAATTTAGTTTAATTTCTAATTAAACTAAAGCACTTCTGCACAGCAAAAGAAACTATCATCAGAGTAAACAGACAACCTACAGAATGGGAGAAAATTTTTGCACTCTGTCCATCTGACAGAGGTCTAACATCTAGCATTTACAACATTATGAGATAAAAACAGCCCCATTAAGAAGTGGGCAAACAACATGAACAGACACTTTTCAAAAGAAGACATATATATGGTGAACAAACATGAAAAAAAGCTCAATATCACTGATCATTAGAGAAATGCAAATCAAAGCCACAATGAGGCTGGGTGTGGTGGCTCACCACTGTAATTTTAGCACTTTGGGAGGCCAAGGTGGGCAGATCACTTGAGGTCAGGAGTTTGAGACCAGCCTGGCCAACATGGTGGAATCTTGTCTCTACTGAAAAATACAAAAATTAGTTGGGTGTGGTGGCAGGTACCTGTAATCCCAGCTACTTGAGAGGTTGAGGCAGGAGAATCGCTTGAGCCCAGGAGGTGGAGGTTGCAGTGAGCTGAGATCGTGCCACTGCACTCCAGCCTGGGTGAAAGAGCAAGACTTCGTCTCAAAAAAATTAAAAAAAAAAGTAATTTAAATATAATATTTTAAGTCAGAGACCTAGCCCACATTCATCTAGTGTTGAATTAAGGAGAGCAGGAGACTAGGAGCTGGCATATAGTTCAGAAATGTGGCTCCTGAGAGGCTGCAAATCATTTTCTCTCTTTTTTATTCTCTTTTTCTTGTAGTTAGAAGGGGAAGATAAAAGACTTTGATTCATGAAGAATCTGCTCACTGAGAAGTGTATATCAAGCCACAATTTCCATCAAAAAGTGATTAAGCAGAGAATGGAGAAGAAGGTTGATTCCAGGTGAGTGATGGGACTTGAGAAAAAAATATAACTGGAATGATGGTTCATATAAAACTAAACATTTTGTGTATGAAAAAATTATAAATTATGAGTGAGGTAGTAACTGTGGGTAAGTTTTTTTTGTCATTGATATTTCAAATTTTTCATCTATAAGATAATACACATTTCGTACATTATGTTACAGTCAAAAAACATTCTGAGTAGTGCATGGAAATATCAATCATTAAAATTTGATTCTGAGCAGAAGTGAGTATTATTTTCCTGAGCTTTGAAGTTATATCATCCAGGTTGGCTGGCTCTCGTGTCTTCTACTTTTGATCATGGTTGCTTTCAGACTTTTACCTTCAGTTGACTGTATCTCTCCAATGAAGCTCTCGGCACCTTATAACGTGGCAGCCTCTGTATAACTCTCCCTTTCTGGGTTTTGGTAATTGTTCCCTCCCCTCATCTCTTTGGGCCTAGAGGTAGTACCACCTTAGCTTCTACTGGCTTCAGGTTCCTGCACTGTTTCTTGTAGTTCCTCTATACCCACAAGTTTGTAAATATACCATCTTCAAATTATCCTATTTTTAGTATGTCATCTATTTTCTTGTGACCTTTCATAGGTTTTATCGTGAATGTTAATGGATTTTGTCACATGGTTTTTGTACATTTATTGAGATAATCATGTGGTTTTTGCTCTTTTTTCTATTAATAGGTGTATTACATAAATTGATTTTTGAATGTTAAATCAGCCTTGCATTCCTGGGATAAATCCCACTTAGTCATGGTGTTTATATGGCATATAGTTGTGTTAGTCAGGGTCCTCTAGAGGAACAGAACTAATAGGATATATGTGTATGTGAAAGGGAGTTTGTTAAGGAGAATTGACTCACACAATCACAAGGTGAAGTCCCGTGATAGGCAGTCTGCAAGTTGAGGAGCAAGGAAGCCAGCAGTGGCTCAGTCCAAGTCCCAATACCTCAAAAATAGGGAAGCCAACAGTGCAGCCTTCAATCTGTGGCCAAAGGCTTGTGAGCCCCTGGTAAACCATTGGTGTAAGTCCAAGAATCCAACAGCCAAAGAACTTGGAGTCTGATGTTCGAGGGCAGGAAACATCCAGCATGGGAGAAAGATGCAGGCTAGAAGACTTAGCTAGTCAGCTTCTCCTACCTTCTGCCTGCTTTTCCTAGTGGTGCTGGCAGCCGTTGGATGGTGCCCACCCACATTGTGGGTGGGTCTTCCTCTCCTAGTCCACTGACTCAAATGTTAATATCTTCTGGCAACGCCCAGATACACCCAGAAACAATACTTTGCGTCCTTCAATTCAATCAAGTTGACACTTAACATTAACCATCACAGTGGTTTTTATACGTTGTTGGATTTGGTTTGCTACTATTTTTTGAGGATTTTTATGTCTGTAGTCACGAGGTCTATTGGTCTTTTATTTTTCTTTTTGGTAATATCTTTGTCTTTGTTATGATGGCGATACTGGTCTCAATGAATTTGGAAGTGTTCCTCTATTTTCTGGAAGAGTTTATGGAGCATTGTTTTGATATTTATTTATTTATTTATTTATTTTTGACATGGAGTCTCGCTCTGTTGCCCAGGCTGGAGTGCAGTGGTACAGTCTCGGCTCACTGCAATCTCTGCCTGCCCAGTTCAAGCGATTCTCCATCATGTTGGCCAGGCTGGTCTCAAATTCCTGAGGTGATCTGCCCACCTCTGCCTGCCAAAGTGCTGGGATTACAGGTGTTGAGCGATAGTGCTCGGCCTATTATTTCTTTTTAAATCTTTGGTAGAATTAATCACTGAAACTATCTGTGCTTTTTTTTGTAGGAAAAATTATTTATTTTAGAGACAGGGTCTTGCTCTGTTGCCTGGGCTGGAGTACAGTGGCACGATCACAGCTCAGTGCAGTTTCTAACTCCTGGGCTCAGGCAATCTTGCTGCCTCAGCCTCCCAAAGTGCTGGGATTACAGGTGTGAGCTACCAAGCCTGGCCTCTTTGTAGGAAAATTTTTAATTACTCATTTAATTTTTTTTACTTGTTAGAGATCTATTAGGTTTCTATTTATTGTTTTTGTTTGTTTTTTGAGATGGAGTCTCACTCTTGTCACCCAGACTGGAGTACGGTGGTGTGATCTCAGCTCACTGCAACCTCTGCCTCCCTGGTTCAAGCAATTCTCCTGCCTCAGCCTCCCGAGTAGCTGAGATTACAGATGCATGCCACCACGCCTGGCTAATTTTTGTATTTTTATTAGAGATGGGGTTTTACCATGTTGGCCTGGCTTGTCTTGAACTCGTGACCTCAAATCACCCACCTACCTCGGCCTCCCAAAGTACTGGGATTACAGGCATGAGCCACTGAGCCCAGCTGTGTTTCTTCCTGAGTTAATTTTGGTAATTTCAGTTTTTCTAGAAATTTTTCCATTTCATTTATGTTGTCTAATTTGTTGGCATAAAGTTAATTGTATGCCCTTATAATACTTTTAATTTATGAAGGGTCAGTGGTAAATGTCCTCTCTTTCATACCTAATTTTGGTGATCCATGTCTTCTCTCTTTTCTCATTGGTTGATCTAGGTAAAGACTTGTCAGTTTTAATGAGGGACCCTTATGGTTACGCTCTTTTTTTTCTTAAACTAATTTGAATTGGGTTCCTGTAGCTTGCAACTTAGGGTGCTATGAATATACAGAAGTTTCTTATAGAATCCACTGGGTCTTGGGCAAAGTGGGAGAGAGAACTGTTTGAGACCTATTCAGCAGGTATTATGGACCCTTCTTCCTGAGCAGAGCCATCTTTGTGCTTCAAAATTTCATCGTGGGAGAATGAATTTGGTTGATCCAGCAAGGGTCAGTTTTTTCCCCCAGTGTAATCAACTAGGACTTGGAGGAAGGTCATTGAGTTCAAGCATAGCTGCTGAGATCCTGCCCCTGTTGATAGACGTTCTCATAGAAGGAGTCCTCGTAAGCTGAACCAGCACCCTGACAGTGTTTACTACATGGTCCGCAGAGTACTCTTTAGGCCTGCTTTATTTCATCTTCTCAAGCAAATTAACGATGGCCTTAATATGAAGCTCTGTGGCCTCTAACTCTGGCATAGTTTCTGTTTTTTTTTTTTTTTTTTTTTTGAGATGGAGTTCTGCTCTGTCGCTCAGGTTGGAGTGCATGGCGCGATCTCCGCTCACTGCAACCTCTGCCTCCCAGTTCAAGCAATTCTCCTGCCTCAGCCTGGTTTCTTCAAATACCCTGCTGCTTTAGGCTGGGGAGGCTAAGAAGGGAATGTATTTCCTTTAAGTTTTTTGTTTGTTTGTTTGAGACAGAGTCTTGCTCTGTTGCCCAGGCTGGAGTGCAATGGCGTGATCTTGGCTCACTGAAGCCTCTGCCTCCCGGGTTCAGTGATTCTCCTGCCTTAATCTCCCGAGTAACTGGGATTACAGGTACATGCCACCACGCCCAGGTAATTTTTTTATATTAGTAGAGAAGGAGCTTCGCCATGTTGGTCTGGCTGGTCTTGAACTCCTGGCCTCAAGTGATCCGCCTGTCTTGGCCTCCCAAAGTGCTGGGATTACAGGTGTGAGTCACCGTGCCCCAGCCTTAGGTGTTAAATTTGCAGATTCAGAAAGGTATGGGAAAATGTATCGTTTAAGATATCATTTTGAAACAAACAATGTAACCATAACACAGGTAAAGAAATAGGTTATTGGCCGGCGCAGTGGCTCACGCCTGTAATCCCAGCACTGTAATCCCCACACTTTGGGAGGCCGAGGCGGGCAGATCATCTGAGGCCAGGAGTTTGAGACCAGTCTGACCAATATGGTAAAACCCCATCTCTACTAAAAATACAAAATTAGCCGGGTGTGGTGGCACATGTCTGTAATCCCAGCTATTGGGGAGGCTGAGGCAGAAGAATTGCTTGAACCCGGGAGGCGGAGGTTGCGGTAAGCTGAGATTGTGCCATTGCACTCCAGCCAGGGCAATAACAGCGAAACTCCATCTCAAAAAAAAAAAAAAAATTACATGGTAAGAATATTTCAGTTTATCTATTTTGCTGATGGGCATTTGGACTGTTTTCAGTTTTTAAATTCCTTTTTTTATATATTGACAAATTATAGTTGTATGTATTTATAGGATACAAAGTGATGTTATTATTTATTTATTATTACTATTTTTTTTTTTGAGACGGAGTCTCGCCCTGTCGCCCAGGCTGGAGTTGCAATGGCACAATCTTGGCTCACTGCAACCTCCACCTCAGGGGTTCAAACAATTCTCCTGCCTCAGCCTCCCAAGTAGCTGGGATTACAGGCACCCGCCACCATACCCAGCTAATATTTGTATTTTTTTTTTTTGAGACGGAGTCTAGCTCTGTTGCCCAGGCTGGAGTTTAGTGGCGCAATCTCGGCTCAGTGCAAGCTCTGCCTCCCAGGTTCATGCCATTCTCCTGCCTCAGCCTCCCAAGTACCTGGGACTACAGGCGCCTGCCACCACGCCCGGCTAATTTTTTGTATTTTTAGTAGAGAGGGGGTTTCACCATGTTAGCCAGGATGGTCTTGATCTTCTGACCTTGTGATCCGCCTGCCTTGGCCTCCCAAAGTGCTGGGATTACAGGCATGAGCCACAGCGCCCAGCCAGTTTTTGTATTTTTAATACAGATAGGGTTTCACCATGTTGGCCAGGCTGGTCTCAAGCTCCTGACTGGGATTACAGGCGTCAGCCACCATGCCCGGCTGATGTTATGATTTTTTAATACAATGTAAAATGATGAAATCAAGCTGTTTAACTTATCTGTCACCTCAAGTATTTGACTTTTTTTTTTCTTTTGAGACAGGGTCTCGCTTTGTTGCCCAGGCTGGAGTGCAGTGGTGTGATCATGGCTCACTGCAGCCTCAGCCTCCTGGGATCAAGCAATCTTCATGCCTCAGACCCCCAAGTAGCTGGGACTTCAGTAATGCACCACCATGTCTGGTGAATTTTTGTATTTTTTGTAGAAATGGGGTTTCACCACGTTGCCTAGGCTGGTCTTGAACTCCTGGCCTCAAGCAATCTGCCCCTCCCAAAGTGCTCAGACTACAGGCGTTAGATGCTGCACCCAGCCTTGACATTTTTTGTGATGAGAAGATTTGAGATTTACTCTCTTAGGGATACTGAAATATATAGTACTCGGGCGTGGTGACTCGTGCTGGCAATCCCAGCACTTTGGTTTTTCGTTTTGTTTTGTTTTGTTTTGTTTTGTTTTATTTTAGACAGAGTCTTGCTCTGTCGCCCAGGCTGGAGTGCAGTGGTGCGATCTCAGCTCACTGCAACCTCCGTCTCCTGGGTTCAAGCGATTCTCCTGCCTCAGCCTCCTGGGCAGCTGGGATTACAGGTGCACACCACCATGCCTGGCTAATTTTTTTTGAATTTTTAGTAGAGACAGGGTTTCACCATGTTGATCAGGCTGGTCTCAAACTCCTGACCTCGTGATCCGCCCACCTCAGCCTCCCAAAGTGCTGGGATTACAGGCATGAGCCACTGGCCCGGCCAATCCCAGCACTTTCAGAGGCTGAGGCGGGTGGATTACCTGAGGTCAGGAGTTGGAGACCAGCCTGGCTGACATGGCAAGACCCTGTCTCTGCTAAAAATACAAAAATTAGTCTGGCATGGTGGCATGCTACTATAATTCCAGCTACTCGGGAAGCTGAGGCAGGAGAATCACTTGAATCTGGGAGTTGGAGGTTGCAGTGAGCCGAGATTGGAGATTGTGCCACTGCACTCCAGCCCGGGTGACGGAGTGAAACTCCATCTCAAAAAAAAAAAAAAAAAAAAAAATGTAGTACTGAATTGTTAGCTATAGTCACCATGCTGTTCAATAGATATTAAAAATCAACTGGCCGGGTGCGGTGGCTCATGCCTGTAATCCCAGCACTTTGGGAGGCCAAGGCAGTCGGATCATGAGGTCAGGAGATTGAGACCATCCTGGCTAACATGGTGAAACCCTGTCTCTACTAAAAATACAAAAAAAAATTAGCTGGGCGTGGTGGCGGGCGCCTGTAGTCCCAGCTACTTGGGAGGCTGAGGCAGGAGAATGGCGTGGACCTAGGAGGTGGAGCTTGCAGTGAGCCAAGATTGCTCCACTACACTCCAGCCTGGGCGACAGAGTGAGACTCTGTCTCAAAAAAAAAAAAAAAAAAAAAAAATCAACTGTATTTCTCCTATTTAACTGAGGCTTTGTGTCCTTTGATTACCATCTTCCCAATTCTCCCTACTCCTAGCCTTTGGTAACCACCATTCTCCTCTCTGTTTCTATGCATTCAATTATTTTAGATTCCACATATAAGTGAGAACAGGTCATATTTGTCTTTGTGTGTTTGGAGTATTTCACTTAATATAATGTTCTCCATTTCCGAAATTCATGTTGTCGAAAACGACAGAATTTCTTCCTTTTTTTTTTTTTTTGAGACGGAGTCTCACTCTGTCGCCAGGCTGGAGTGCAGTGGCACAATCTCAGCTCACTGCAACCTCTACCTCCCGGATTCAAGCGATTCTTCTGCCTCAGCCTCTTGAGTAGTTGGGACTACAGGCGTGTGCCACCATGCCCAGCTAATTTTTGTATTTTTAGTAGAGACAGGGTTTCACCATGTTGGCCAGGATGGTCTCAATCTCTTGACCTCATGATTGCCCACCTCAGCCTCTCAAAGTGCTGGGATTACAGGTGTGAGCCACTGTGCCGGGCTAACCATCTGTATTTCTAGTAAGTTCCCAAGTGATGGTTATGCTGTTGGCTTTGGTATCACACTTTGATAACCACTGTTCTATGGTATCCACCTCAGAATAGATTGTGGACCAAAGATTATGGGAATCTTCAATTTTGCTAGATAATGATTTTCTGAATTGTTTGAACCAGTTTATACTCTTGCTGGCAGTGTATGAACATGTTCATTGACTTACCAACACTATACTAATCTGGTAGGTATGTCTCATTGTTCGTGTGTGTGTGTGTGTGTGTGTTTCTTTTTTCTTTTTCTTTTTTTTGGGACAGGATCTCATTCTTTTACCCAGGCTGGAGTACAGTGGCATGATCATGGCTCACTGCAGCGTCGACCTGCCAGCTCATGCAATCCTCCTTCCTCAGCCTCCCAGCTCATGCAATCCTCCTTCCTCAGCCTCCCAAGTAGCTGGGACTACAAATATGCATCACTGTGCCTGGCTCTGTGTGTGTGTGTGTGTGTGTGTGTAGACAGGGTCTTGCTTGGTTGCCCACGCTGGTCTTGAACTCCAGAGCTCAAGTGATCCTCCTGCCTCACCCTCCCAAAGTACTGGGATTATAGGCATGAGCCATGTGCCAGCCTCATTGTGATTCCTATTTTCATTTCCTGAATTCCTGTTGTGGCTTAGTACCTTTTTTTTTTTTTTCTTTTTTTGAGATGGCGTCTCCCTCTGTTGCCCAGGCTGGAGTGCAGTGGCGTGATCTCGGCTCACTGCAACCTGCATCCCCTGGGTTCAAGCAATTCTCCTGCCTCAGCCTCCCAAGTAGCTGGAACTACAGTCACGCACCACCATGTCTGGCTAATTTTTGTATTATTAGTAGAGACGGAGTTTCACCATGTTGGCCAGGCTGGTCTTGAACTCGTGATCCACCTGCCTTGGCCTCCCAAAGTGCTGGGGCTTAGTACCTTTTTATGTGTTTATTGGGTATCTGGATTTTCTCTTTTTGAAGTACATATTCAAGTCTTATTCCTGTTTTTCTCATGAGTTGTATATTGAGTATTTGTACTAATTAATATATAGGAGGTTTTCTGTTTTTGAATATGAATCTTTTGTATGTTTTATGTGTGATAAATATCTTCTCCCTCTGCTCTCTTCATCATTTGATGAATTAAGATGTTTTAAATTTTAAGCCGGGTGCCGTGGCTTACGTCTGGAATTCTAGCACTTTGAGAGGCCAAGGAGGGTGGATCACTTGAGGTCAGGAGTTAGAGACAAGCCTGACCAACATGGCAAAACCCCGTCTCTACTAATAATACAAAAATTAGCTGGGTATTGTGGTGTGTGCCTGTAGTCCCAGCTACTTGGGGGGCTGAGGCAGGAGAATTGCTTGAACCTGTGAGGTGGGGGTTACAGTGAGCTGAGATGGCACCCCTGCACTCCAGCCTGGGCAACAGAGTGAAACTCTCAAAAAGAAAGAAAGAAAAAAAAAAGAAAGCCAGGCACAGTGGCTCAACCCCTGTAATCCCAGCACTTTGGAAGGCCAACGCAGGCAGATCATTTGAGGTCAGGAGTTCAAGACCAGCCTGGCCAACATGGCGAAACCCCATCTCTACTAAAAATTAAAAAGTCAGGCCAGGAGTGGTGGTTCATGCCTGTAATCCCAGCACTTCGGGAGGCTGAGGTGGGCGGATCACCTGAGGTCGGGAGTTCGAGACCAGCCTGACCAACATGGAGAAACCCCGTCTCTACTAAAAATACAAAATTTGCCGGGCATGGTGGCACATGCCTGTAATCCCAGCTACTCGGGAGGCTGAGGTGAGAGAATCGCTTGAACCTGGGAGGCGGAGGTTGCAGTGAGCCGAGATTGCGCCATTGCACTCCAGCCTGGGCAACAAGAGCGAAACTCAGTCTCAAATAAACAAACAAATAAATAAAAATAAAATCAGCCAGATGTGGTGTCGCATGCCTATAATCCCAGCTACTTGGGAGGCTGAAGCGGGAGAATCACTTGAACCCAGGAGGCAGAGGTTGCAGTGAGCCGAGATGGTGCCACTATACTCCAGCCTGGGTGACAGAGTGAGACTCTGTCTCAAAAAAAAAAGAAAAAAAAATTTAACTTAGTAAAATTTGTGTCTTTTCCTTTATAATTAATATGTGTTCTCTCAGGTTTAAGGAATCTATTTCTTCCCTGATGTCATGAAGATATTCTGGTTTTTGTTTTTTGGAGACAGGGTCTCGCACTGTCACACTGGCTGGATTGCAGTGGCACAATCAGGGTCACTGCAGCCTCAACCTCCCAGGCTTGAGGAGTCCTCCCATCTCAGCCTCCCAAATAGATGGCACTACAGGCATGTGCCACCACACCCAGCGAATTTTTGTATTTTTTGTAGAGATGGGCTTTCATCGCACTGCCCAAGCTGGTGTCAAACTCTTCGGCTCAAGCAATTCGCCTGCCTTGGCCTCCCAAAGTGCTGGGATTACAGGTGCGGGCCACCATGCCTGGCCTAAGATATTCTGTATCATCTTTAAGAACTCATTATTTTGCTGTTTACATTTTATTGTCCAGACCTCCTGAAATTGACTTTTGTTGATCATGTGAGTTAGGGACCCTATTTCTTTTTTTTTCACATGGGTATGTAATTGTCCTAGCACAGTTTATTGAAAAAACTGCTCTATAGTGCCATTTTAATCATTACTCAAGTGTCCATTAAGGCCAAGTCTGTCTCTTGGCTATGTACCTTGTTCCTTCGGTCAATTTGTTTCTGCTATACAAAATCGTGATGTCTTGAATATGTAGCCTTGCGATAAGCCTGATATCTAAGTAAGACTGCTTATCTAGTACTTTTAAGAATGTCTAAGCTATTCTTGGTCTTTTGTAATTCTATGAAAGCTTCAGAATCAACTTGTGAAGTCCTCTCCCTCCCCAAAATAGAATCTATTGTTGTTGGTTTTTTTGTTTGTTTGTTTTTTAAGACAGTCTTCCTCTGTCGCCCAGCAGGAGTGGCACAATCTTGGCGCACTGCAATGCCTGCCTCCCAGGTTCAAGCCATTCTCCTGCCTCAGCCCCCAGAGTAGCTGGGATTACAGGCACCCACCACCACGCCTGGCTGTTTTTTGTATTTTTAGTAGAGATGGCATTTCACCATGTTGGCCAGGCTGGTGGTCTTGAACTCCTGTCCTCAGTCAAGGTGATCTGCCCGCCTTGGCCTTCCAAAGTACTGGGTTTACAAGTGTAAGCCACTGTGCCCAGCCCTCTATTGTGGTTTTAATTGAGATTACTTTGAATCTATAGATCAGAGTGGGAAAAACTGACATCTGTATTGTACTGAGTTCTCCATTTTGCCTATAAAATTATTAGATTTACTCCTATATTTGATATTTGTGATGCCATTTGAAAATAGTATATAAATATATATAACTATTTTTTCCTTATTGCTAGTTTATAGAAATATAGAGTTGACCCTCATTTATTTGGTTTTCTCTCTTCCTGGTCAGTTTCACTGGCTGTCAACTGTATTAGTCTTTTTAAGGAACCAGCTTTTCTCTTTGATCTTCTCTGTTATGTTTGTCGTCCCTTTGTGGCTGCTGTTCTTAGAAAATAACTGCTTACAAGGCTGACCCTTGGCTGGTGTCTGGAAACTTAGATTTCAGAAGGGTTCCCACCATTCCCTAACTGATGAATAGTTAACTGGACCTACACTGTTGTGTGTTCATGCAATGTTGTTTATGCTGAATACTAGCACTCCCTCTAGGAGTCTGGAATTTTGGTATGTGTTAGGCAGAGGGTACCTGTCTGACCAGCCCTCAGTAAAAACTTGGGTACTGAGTCTCTAATAAGCTTCATTGATACACAACACTTCTCACGTGTTATCACAATTCATTGCCGGAGGAATTAAGAGTGTCCTTTGTGATTCCGCTGGGAGAGGATTCTTGGAAGCTTGCGCTTGATTTCTTCCAGACTATGCCCTGTGCCCCTCTTCCCTTTGTTGATTTGCTTTGCATCCTTTTGCATAAAGATTGAAGAAAAAATCGTAATGGAAGTTAGCAAATACGTTGTAATGCTCATAAAAATACTACATATCAATATATGAAATACAACTACAGTCATGCTTAGAGGAATGTATGATGGGTTTAATGCATTTAATGTATAGCATTAAATGCATGTATTATAAAGGAATTAAGACTGAAAACCAGCGAACTATGCATCTATCATTTTTTCTTTTATTTTCCATTTTTTTTTTTTTTTGATACAGGGTCTTGCTCTGTCGCTCAGGCTGGTGTGCAGTGGCATGATCATAGCTCACTGCAGCCTTGAACTCCTGGGTTCAAGTGATCTTCCTATGTCAGTCTCCCATGTAGCTGGGAGTAGAGGCATGCATCATCACATCTGGCTAATTTTTTTTTTTTTTTCCGAGACACAGTCTTGCTCTCCCGCCCAGGCTGGAGTGCAGTGGCATGATCTTGGCTCACTGCAACATCTGCCTCGTGGGTTCAAGCAATTCTCCTGCCTCAGCCCCCCGAGTAGCTGGGATTACAGGCGTGTGCCACCACGCCCAGCTAATTTTTTGTATTTTTAGTAGAGACAGGGTTTCACCATGTTGGCCAGGCTGGTCTCCAACTCCTGACTTCAGGTGATCCACCCGCCTTGGCTTTCCAAAGTGCTGGGATTACAGCCGTGAGCCACTGCACCCGGCCTAATTTTTTAATTTTTTGTAGAGATGGGGTCTCTCTGTGTTGCCCAGCTGATCTCAACTCCTAGCCTTAAGCAATCCACCCACCTTGGCCTCCTGTAGTGCTGGGATGATAGGCATGAGTCACTGCCTGGCCAAAAGTTTTTTTATTTTAAACTTTTAATTAATTAATTTTGAGACTGGGTTATGACACTGGCTAATTTTTGTATTTTTGGTAGAGATGGGGTTTCACCTGTTGCCCAGGGTGGTCTTGAACTCCTGGGCTCAAGTGATCCACCCGCCTCAGCCTCCCAAAGTGCTGGGATTACAGGCATGAGCCACCGTGCCTGGCCAAAAATTATTTACTGATAAATATAACACAAATACAGAAAACGGCATGAAACAAGTGGGTGCCCTAGCGAATTATTATATGGCAGACACCTTTGTAATCACCACCTGTTTAAAAAAAAAAAAAAAAAGATAAGACCTTGGCAGTCATTTCTGAACTTCCTTCCAAACCCACTGACTGCCCCTCAGAGAGTAAACTACTAGCTTGACTTGAATGGTAATTACTTTCTCACTTTTCTTCACGGTTTTATTACCCAACTGTGTATCCTTAAACACTGTATAGTTTAGCTTTGCTTGTGGGTTTTTTGAGCAGGATTATAAGCTACTTTCATTGTTTTCATTATAGTTACCAACATTTTTCAGATTTCCTAAAATGGTTCTATATTGCTTTTTTATTTTTAAAATTCATTGAGATATAATTCACATACTACACAATTCATTCATTTCAAGTGTGCAATTCAATGGCTTTTCTAATACTCACGGAGGGTTGGTTTTTTGTTTTTTGTTTTAGTTTGGGGTATGACTTCTATTGCCAGAGGGAAAGTAATATATGTACAAAACCAAATGTTTGTTGATATAACTTCTGCATCATAATTAAAATCCAGGGAGTATCTAAAAAAATAGTCATCTCAATCAAAATCCACTACTTCCATTTGGGCATGGTGGCTCAGGCACTTATAATCCCAGAACTTTGGGAGGTTGAGGTGGGAGGATTCCTTGAGTCCAGGAGTTCGAGACCAGCCTGAGCAACATAGTAAGACCCCGTCTCTACAAAAAGTAAAAAAAAAAAAAAAATAGCCAGGTGTGGTAGTGCTTGCCTGTAGTACCAGCTGCTCAGGAGTCTAAAGTGGGAGGATCACGTGAGCCTGGGAGACTAAGGCTGTGTAATTTGTGATTGTTCCACTGCATTCCAGCCTGGGCAACAGAGCCAGACCCTGTCTCAAAAAAAAAAAAAAAAAAAAAAAAGTAGAGTTCAAGACCAGCCTGGGCAACATAGTGAGACCTTGTCTTTACTAAAAAAATTTTTAAAAATTAGCCAGGTGTCATGGGGCATGCCTGTATTCCCCTGGAATCACCAACACTGTTAGAGCTGTTAGATTAATTAGAGACCTGAGATAATAAGAAATACAGGCATCCTTTACATAGTCTTCTGTTGTTCTTTCTTCCCAATCAGAGACTTGCGAATGTGTGGAATGACACCATCACCAGCAATTGTAGCCTTGATGAGAGAGTCCAATTCTTCTTCTTCACTAATAGCAGGTTGCAAATGATGAGGGGTAATAGCTTTACCTTTAAATCTTTTGGTGCCTTTGATGTCACTTCAAGTATCTCTGCAGTGAGGTATCCAAGGATGGCTGCACTGTTCACAGTGGCAGTCACGCCCCTACACATCCATGACTGGTCGTCCTACATTTGAGGTGTCTGTCTATGAATATGGCCCACCCGGAACTGTAAGGAGGCTCTCTGTGAGCGGGAAACAACCACCTTTGTTCTGGCCTTTCCAGTGTCCTGCTCAGCCTTAACGCCACCCTTGCAAATTCTGTCAAAGCTCAAACAAGGCAGAGAAAGGGCTAGTCAGACACACAGTGAGATCCTACCACCTACTGCTTCATGGCACGGTGATTGAAACTGCCCAGAGAGTTTATGTTTTGTGTGTGTGTGGTAACGTATACATAACAAAAAACTTACTATTTTATTTTAACCTTTTTTTTTCTTTTTTTTTGAGACAGTCTCACTGTGTTGCCCAGGCTGGAGGGCAGTGGCGTGATCTTGGCTCACTGTAACCTCCACCTCCTAGGTTCAAGTGCTGCTTGTGCTTCAGCCTCCCAAGTAGCTGGGTCTGCAGGCATGCGTCACCATGCTTGGCTAACTTTTTGTATTTTTAGTAGAGACGGGGTTTCATCATGTTGGCCAGACTGGTCTTGACCTCCTGGCCTCGAGGGATCCACCTGCCTTGGCCTCCCAAAGTGCTAGGATTACAAGTGTGAGCCACTACACCTGGCCTTTTTTTTTTTTTTTTTTTTTGAGATGGACTTTTGCTCTGTCGCCCAGGCTCGAGTGCAGTGGCACAATCTCTGCTCACTGCAACCTCCACCTCACGGGTTCAAGCTGTTCTCCCGCCTCAGCCTCCCAGGTAGCTGGGATTACAGGCGCGTGCCACCATGCCCAGATAATTTTTGTATTTTTGGTAGAGACAGTGTTTCACCATGTTGGCCAGGCTGCTCTCGAACTCCTGATCCACCTGCCTCAGCCTCCCAAAGTGGTAGGATTACATGCGTGAGCCACCACGCCTGGCCTATTTTAACTGTTTTTAAGTGTACAATTTAGTACCATTAAGTACATTGACAATGTGTAACCATCACCACTATCCATACCCAAAACTTTTCATCATCCCATGTGGAAATTCTGTATTCATTAAATGGTATCTCCTCATTCCTCCTACCCTAACCCTTTATAACCTTTATTATACTTTTCTGTTTCTAAGAATTTGCTTGTTCTAGGTACCTCATGTAAGTGGAATCATACGACATTTTTCCATTTGTGTCTGGCTTATTTCAGTTAGCATAGTGTTTTCAAGGTTTCTGTATCAGAATTTTATTCCTTTTTTTCTTTTGAGATGGAGTCTCGCTCTGTCACCAGGCTGGAGTGCAGTGGTGTGATGTCAGCTCACTGCAACCTCTGCCTCCCGTGTTTAAGCGATTCTCTTGCCTCAGCCTCCCAAGTAGCTAGGACTACAGGCGTGTGCCACCATGCCCAGCTAATTTTTGTATTTTTAGTAGAGACGGGGTTTCACCATGTTGGCCAGGATGGTCTTGATCTTTTGACCTTGTGATCCACCCGCCTGGGACTCCCAAAGTGCTGGGATTACAGGTGTGAGCCACAGCACCCGGCCTTATTCCTTTTTATAGCTCTATAATATTCCATTGTGAACTGTACGCCATTTTTTAAATCCATTATCAGTTTATGAACATCTGGGTTGTTTCCACCTTTTGGCTATTGTGAATTATGCTGCTGTGAACATTGTGTACAAGTTTTTCTGTGGACATATGCTGTATTGCTTTTATAATAAGAAAATAAATATTTTTAAAGCAGAAAATTCAGGCCATAGGATACATATCTCATTGTAGTAATAGATAATTATTTTCTCCTTCACATTCCTTCTACTGCCAGTAAATACAATGATATTTTCTTTTTATAATGTAATTTCCTGTACAGATTGTCTTGTTAAGGAGGGCCATTTACAAATGACCAGTATTTGGCCAGAGTCTCACCCACCTTCAGTGTAAATGTATAAACTGATGATGTTATGTTTTAGAAATTAGAAACCACTTTCCCAAATCAGGAGGAAAAAATCCAGTTTTAATTTCCAAGTTAACACAATTAAATATATGTATTGTGGTTCCATAAATTTATTTTATGAAGTTGAGCCTGAAGAATAAGCCAGTCTATCATCACACCTTAGAAATTCAGGTATCTGAATAGTAAACAGTTTGTCTTTAGAGTGTGAAGTCCGTTATCTCTTTTGATTCCCACAACCCCAAGCAATGTTATTTCCATTTACAGGGGAGGATACTGAGGGTAGGAAAAATCAAGTGATTTGCCATAAACTTCAAATCTGTGAAGTCCATTATCTCCTTTGATTCCCACAACCCCAAACAATATTATCTCCATCTACAGGGGAGGATACTGAGGGTAGGAAAAAATCAAGTGATTTGCCATAAACTTCAAATCTGTGGAATCAGGGTGTTTTTTTTTACTCCAAATCTTGATATATTTCTACTATTCTACTCTTTAATTGGCAATTATAAGTGTTCCTTGTAGATTAAGCAAGTGATTTTTGTATTAAACCTAAGTTGCAACAATAGCACACCATGGCAAGGACTACTTTTTTTTTTTTTTTTTTTGAGATTGTGCCATTGCACTCCAGGTCAGGGATTCGAGACTAGCCTGGCCAATATGGTGAAACCCTGTGTCTACTAATAATACAAAAATTAGCCGGGCTTGGTGGCGTGCACCTGTAGTCCCACCTACTTGGGAGACTGAGGCAGAAGAATTGCTTGAACCCAGGAGGCGGAGGTTGCAGTGAGCCGAGATGGCGCCATTGCACTCCAGCCTGGGCGACAGAGTGAGATTCCATCTCAAAAAAAATAAAAATAAAAAGTGTTCCCTTTTCTCTGCTTCCTTGCCAGCATTTGTTATGTTTTTTGGTCTTTTTGACAACAGTCACCTAACAAGTAAGATGACACCTCATTGTGGTTTTCATTTGCATTTTCCTGATAGTGATGTTGAGCATTTCTTCGTATATGTGTTAGCCATTTGTATGTCTTCTTTTGAGAAATGTCTATTCAGAGAATTTGCTCCCCTCACTTTTTTTTTTTTGAGACAGGGTCTCACTCTGTCACCCAGGCTGGAGTACAGTGGTGGGATCTCAGCTCACTGCAACCTCTGCCTCCCAGGCTCAAGCTATCCTCTCAGATCAGCCTCCGGAGTAGCTGGGACTACAAGCACACACCACCATGCTTGGCCAATTTTTTGTAGAGACAGGATTTTGCCGTGTTGCCCAGGCTGGTGTTAAATTCCTGGACCGAAGCCATCTGCCTGTCTCAGCTTCCCAAAGTTGCCCCTTTTTTAATTGGATTTTTTTTTTTTTTTTTGCTGTTGAGATGTTTGAGTTCTTTGTATATTCTGCATATTAATCCTCTGTCAGATAGTTTGCACATATTTTTTATAATATTTGTAATCCCATTTTTTTTTATGGAGTCTTACTCTGTCACCCAGTCAGGAGTGCAGTGGTACAAATTTGGCTCACTGCAACCACCACCTCCCAGGTTCAAGCGATTCTCCTGCCTCAGCCTCCCGAGTAACTGGGATTACAGGTGCATGCCACCACGCCCAGCTAATTTTGTATTTTTAGTAGAGATGGGGTTTCACCATGTTGGCCAGGCTGGTCTTGAACTCCTGACCTCAAGTGATCTGACTGCCTTGGCCTCCGAAACTGCTGGGATTACAGGCATGAGCCACCACGCCCAGCCTGTAATCTCATTCTATAGGTTGTCTTTTTACTCTGTTGATTGTTTCCTTTGCTGAGCAGAAGTTTTTGAGATTATCCCATTTTGTTTACTTTTGCTTTTGTTGCCTGTGCTTTTGATGTTTTATTCATAAAATCTTTTCCTAGACGTTTGAAGTATTTCTTCTCGTAGCTTTCTAGTTTTGGATCTTACATTTAGGTCTTTGATCCATTTTGAGTTGATATTTGTATAGGGTGAGAGGTGGGGAGTCTAGTTTCATTTTTCTGCATGTAGATACTCACTTTTCCCAGCACCATTTATTAAGGAGGGTGTCCTTTCCCCAATGTTCTTGGAGCCTTTGTCAAAAATAAATTGGCACTGGGTGCGATGGGTCACACCTGTAGTCTCAGCACTTTGGGACACCAGGACAGGCGGATCACTTGAGCCTGGGAGTTCAAGACCATCCTGCGCATGTGGCAAAACCCCATCTCTACAAAAAATTAGCCAGGTGGTAGCATGTACTTGTAGTTGCAGCTCCTCAGGAGGCTGAGGTGGGAAGATCACCTGAATCTGGGAGGTCAAGGATGCAGTGAGCCGTGATTGCATCACTGTATTCCAGTGGGGCAACAGAATGAGACTCTGTCATTCATAGATAGATAGATAGATAGATAGATAGATAGATAGATAGATAGATAGATAAAGTAGCTTAATAACTTGATACTCTCTGTTCTGTTCCATTGGCCTATGTGTCTGTTTTTATGCCAGTACCATGCTGTTTTGGTTACTACAGCTTTGTGGTTTATTTTGAAGTCTGGTGGTGTGATGCCTCCAGCTTTGTTCTTTTTGCTGAGGATCACTTTGGCTATTTGGGATCTTTTGTGGTCCTATACAATTTTTAAGATGTTTTTCCTATTTATGTGAAGAATGTCACTGGTATTTTTATAGGGCCTGTGTGCATTTTAGCATGTTCTTCTGTCCTCTGTTCTCAACCTTTTTCTGCAAATTGGTAACTGGATTTAGAGACTTAATTAGATTTAAGTTTTATTTTTTGGGAGTAGTACTAGATAATCTTATAGAAGCAAAGCACTGAACAGTACCATACTCAAATATGATACCTGTATTAGAGCATTCTCATGCTGCTATGAAGAAATATCTGAGATAAGTAATTTATAAAGGAAGGAGGTTTAATTGACTCATAGTTCTGCATTTCTAGAGAGGCCTCAAGAAACTTACAATCATGGTGGAAGGGGAAGCAAACACGTCCTTTTTCACATGGCGGCAGGAAAGAAAGTGCAGGGTGAAGTGGGGGAAAGCCCCATATAAAACCATCAGATCTCGTGGAAACTTACTCACTATCATGAGAACAGCATGGGGGAACTACCACCATAATCTAATCACCTTCCATGAGGTCCCTCCCATGACACGTGGGGATTATGGGAGCTACAATTGCAGATGCGATTTGGGTGGGGGCACAGCTAAACCATATCAATACCTATGTTTTGTTGTTGTTGTTGAGACAAGAGTGTCACTTTGTCGCCCAGGCTGGAGTGCATTCAGTTCACTGCAGCCTCTGCCCCCTGGGTTCAAGTGATTCTCGTGCCCCAGCCTCCTGAGTAGCTGGGACTACAGGCGTGTGCCACCACACCCGGCTAATTTTTGTATTTTGTATTTTTAGTAGAGACGGGGTTTCACCATGTTGTCCAAGCTGGTCTCAAATTCCTAACCTCAGGTGATCCGCCTGCCTCAGCCTCTCAAAATGCTGGAATTACAGGCTTGAGCTACCGTGCCTGGCCATCAATACCTACGTTGGAACTATCAGGGAATTTTATTTTTTTCTTTCTTCCTGTCCTGTCTTGTCCTGTCCTGTCGCCCAGGCTGGATGGAGTGCAATGGCATGGCTCACCGCAACCTCCGCCTCCCGGGTTCAAGCGATTCTCCTGCCTCAGCCTCCCAAGTAGCTGAGATTACAGGCACCCGCCACCACATCCGGCTGACTTTTGTATTTTTAATAGAGACGGGATTTCGCCATGTTGGCCAGGCTGGTCTCAAACTCCTGACCTCAGGTGACCCTCCCGCCTCGGCCTCTCAAAGTGCTGGGATTACAGGCATGAGCCACTGTACCTGGCTGAGAACCTGTCTTTAAAAAAAAAATTAGATTGCTTCTACCTTTTGGCTGTTGTGATTAATGCTTCTACCTTACTTTTTATAGTTACCCCGTGCCCTGCAAATATGTTCACTCTTGACTTTCATTTCTTTAAACATATTCATTTTAGCATATACAGCTGTGTGTGTGTAAAGAAAAAGGGGTATGTGGGAACAGTCTGTTCGTTCTTCACAATTTTGCAGTAAACTTCGAATTGTTCTTAAAAAACAAAATCTAAGAGACTGATTGTGGTAGCTCACACCTGTAATGCCAGCATTTTGGAAGGCTTAGTTGGGAGGATTGCTTAATCCCAGGAGTTCAAGACCAGCCTAGGCAACATAGCAAGACCCTATTTCAAGAAAACAATACAATAAAATTTTTTAAAAAGTATATTAAACTTTGTGTGTGTGTTTGTGTGTACATACGTGTGCTTTACCCTCAGTGCAGATATTCTGAAGCAAGAGATCAAGAATGAGATCAGGCCGGGTACAGTGGTACATGTCTGTAATGCCACCCCTTTGGGGGGTTGAGGCAAGAGGATTACTTGAGCCCAGGAATTTGAGACTAGCCTGGGCAATATAGTGAGACCCTGTCTCTAAAAAAATAAAAATAAAAAATTGGCCGGGAACAGTGGCTCAAGCCTGTAATCCCAGCACTTTGGGAGGCCGAGGTGGGTGGATAACCTGAGGTCAGGAGTTCAAGACCAGCCTGGCCAACATGGTGAAACCCCGTCTCTAATAAAAATACAAAACTTAGCTGGGCACGGTAGTGGGTGCCTGTAGTCCCAGCTACTAGGGAGGCTGAGGCAGGAGAATTGCTTGAACCCGGGAGGCGGAGGTTAAACGAGCTGAGATCGCGCCACTGCACTCCAGCCTGGGCAACAGAGTAAGACCTTATCTCAAAAAAATAATAAAAATAAAAAGTTAGCTGGTCATGGTGGTGCATGCCTGTAGTGTCAGCTACTCAGGAGGATGTGGTAGGAGGATTCCTTGAGCCCAGGAGTTCAAGACCAGCCTGGGCAACACAGTGAGACCTCATCTCTTAAAAAAAAAAATTATCAGGACACAGTGGCGAGCACCTGTGGTCCTAGTTGCCTAGTTGCTTGGGAGGCTGAGATGGGAGGATCACTTGAGCCTGGGAGGTCGAGGCTGCAGTGAGCTGTGGTCATGCCACAGCAATCCAGCCTGGGCAACGGAGTAAGAACCTGTCTCAAACAAAAGAAAACTGTGTTAGGCCTAATGACTCCAGGGGGTGCCCTCCAGCTCTGTAGTTCCTGCCTAGAGCTGACCCAGCAGTACCCACCTCTAGTGGTTGGCCAATATTTCTGTCAGATTGGGCTGCTTATTATCCTTGCAGCATAGGTATTGTCAGTCTCAATGAGCTTATCTGTTTAATTTTGCTTGTATATTAAAAGTATTTGCATCACATGCAGAGATAACTTTATTCTCTCCTTGCCTCTTTCGTCCTCAAATTTAAGGTATTTTAAGGATGGTGCAGTTAAGAAACCTTATTCTGCAAAGACACTGTCCAACAAGAAGTCTTCTGCATCCTTTGGGATCCGGAGGGAGTTACCTAGTACCAGTCATCTAGTGCAGTATCGTGGCACACATACTTGTACCCGACAGGGCCGGTTAAGAGAACTGCGCATCAGGTGAGCTTATGAGTGGCCACCAGTCTATGGGTACTTTGCTTTTGTTCTCCTTTCTTGGTTAAAATGGGGGAATGATTCTTATTCTTCCACCGCAATTAGTGGGAGATCTTGATGCCTGTTCTTGGTAGTAGAATGTTCAGATGAAAAGGATATTCAGGAACCTGCAGACATAAAATCTGTCATTGAGTGTTTTCATTTCTCCACTTGTGCCTCACAATATGACGCTATCAAGATTCTTCCAGAAAAAGTCTAAACGTGGTCCAAGAAAGAAGGAACTACTCTTTTTTGCTATTCTTTTTTTCCCCCCAGATTTTCTGGTGAATTCTAGAAGAGCTGTAACACTTCTGCTACTCTCGATTAGATATATTAGAGACATCTGTTTCTTCATTCAAAAATTTATCAGGTCAGGTACGGTGGCTCACACCTGTAATCCCAGCACTTTGGGAGGCCGAGGCAGGTGGATCACCTGAGGTCAGGAGTTTGAGACCCCGTCTCCACTAAAAATACAAAAAATTAGCTGGGTGTGGTGGCACATGCCTGTAATCCCAGCTACTTGGGAGGCTAAGGCACGAGAATCGCTTGAACCTGGGAGGCCGAGGTTGCAGTGAGCTGAAATTGCTCCACTGCCCTCCAGCCTGGGCGAGAGTGAGACTCTGTCTCAGAACAACAACAACAGATTTATCTGGTGCTTACCCATGCCAGGTGTTACGCTAGATGCTGAGCATATAAAGTGAGTAAGATCATCTTGGTTTATGACTTAATGAGAGTTTAAAATCAGGTAGGCTTGATAGACTCTTAAGCCACAACAATAAAGTGAGATTAGTGCAATGAGAGGAGAAGGATGTGGTACCACAGGCAAATACGGCGAGAACAGCCACACTAGTATAGCCAGCAGTTACTCTCTGGAGGAAGTGGAGTTTAAGCTCAGCCCTGAAGGATAATGTAAGAATAAGCCAGATAAAGGGCAGGAGAAGGTGTGTTTTAAGTTGAGCTCAAGGTTTAACTCTATAAGACAAGCCACCTTTGGCCGGGTATGGTGGCTCACGCCTGTAATCCCAGCACTTTGGGAGGCCGAGGCGGGTGGATCACGAGGTCAGGAGATCGAGACCATCCTGGCTAACACAGTGAAACCCCGTCTCTACTAAAAATACAAAAAATTAACTGGGCGTGGTGGCAGGTGCCTGTAGTCGCAGATACTCTCTGGAAGCTGAGGCAGGAGAATGGCGTGAACCCAGGAGGTGGAGGTTGCAGTGAGCCGAGATCACACCACTGCACTCCAGCCTGGGCGACAGAGTGAGACTCCATCTCAAAAAAAAAAAAAAAAAAAAAAAAAAAAAAAAGACAAGGCCGGGCGCGGTGGCTCACACCTGTAATCCCAGCACTTTGGGAGGCCGAGGCGGGTGGATCATGAGGTCAGGAGATCGAGACCATCCTGGCTAACATGGTGAAACCTGGTCTCTACTAAAAATGCAAAAAATTAGCCAGGTGCAGTGGCGGGTGCCTGTGGTCCCAGCTACTCGGGAGGCTGAGGCAGGAGAATGGTGTGAACCCAGGAGGCGGAGCTTGCAGTGAGCAGACATTGGGCCACTGTACTCTAACCTGGGCGACAGAGCAAAACTCTGTCTCAAAAAAAAAAAAAAAAAAAAAAAAGACAAGCCACCTTTGTGTGTATACCAGACACTGTGCTAGGTACTGGAGGTACTATAAAGCACCAATTTCTGCTTTCAGGGGCTCACAGTGCAGAGGGAATGACAGACACCCTGTGAGCTGATCTCTGTGATATGGTGTCATAACATTACAGGAGGGGTTTGAACAGAGTGCTGAGAGTACACAGCTACTCACTCTGTTTACATTGGAGAAGGTTCAGGCATTTGCCGGCCATTTTAGGCAGGAAGAATAATATGAACAAAAGAATTATTATGTACTTCCTGTACCTCATTTTTGAAGTTTTTAATCTCTTCACTGACAATTTATGTTGAAAATATTTTTTAAAAATAATCTGCTTGATTTTAGCTTTATAAATCTGCCCCATCCTATGCCCTGTATGATGCAAAATTAGCTATGATACCGCCTTTTGATTCATACTAACATCCCTCTGCTGAGACCTTAAAGGCTTCCTTTCCTTTCCAGAAAACTGCTGATGTAAGCCAAATGGAATTTTAAAATATGTATATGCTTTTTTTCCTTCTTTCAGATGCGTGGCCAGAAAGTTCTTATATTTATGGATTCGAATGACTTTTGGAAGAGTATTTCCCTCTAAAGCCAGGTAGTATTAGCTCAGAACAACATAATTGTGTTGAGTTCATTCTAGGGTTTTCTTTTATATTAAGCCTGTATATAAACTTCATTATGGCTTGTGCTGTTACATTCCTCCCCAGCCTCCAGTAGGTAGAAGCAGTCCCTAATATAACCATGTAATACAGTGGTAACTTCATATCTGTTAGTTGACTGCAGCTGCATTCATGGTGAGCTGTGAATGTTATCTACAAAGTAGCCAGTAAAGGTTAAGTTTTAGTGTTCAGTGGTGTGGCCTTTAGCTAGCTACTGTGGCCTTCAGCTTCAAAGAAAAAGAAAGAAAAAAAAATAACAAGCAAGTGACCAAATGAAAGAATCAGGCAGGGCGCCGTGGCTCACGCCTGTAAACCCAGCACTTTGGGAGGCCGAGGCGGGTGAATCATCTGAGGTTAGGAGTTCGAGACCAGCCTGGCCAACCTGGTGAAACCCCGTCTCTACAAAAATTAGCCGAGCAGCCAGGCATGGTGGCTCATGCCTGTAATCCCAGCACTTTGGGAGGCCAAGGTGGGCGGGTCACCTGACATCGGGAGTTTGAGACCAGCCTGACCAACATGGAGAAACCCCGTCTCTACTAAAAATACAAAATTAGCCGGACGTGGTGGCGCATGCCTGTAATCCCAGCTACTTGGGAGGCTGAGGCAGGAGAATTGCTTGAACCCTGGAGGCGGAGGTTGCGATGAGCCAAGATTGCACAGTTGCACTCCAGCCTCGGCAACAAGAGCGAAAGTCCCTCTCAAAAAAAAAAAAAAAAAATTAGCTGAGCATGGTGGCATATGCCTATAATCCCAGCTACTCGGGAGGCTGAGGCAGGAGAACCACTTGAACCCTGGAGGCATAGGTGGTGGTGAGCCGAGATCGCGCCATTGCACTCCAGGCTGGGCAACAGAGTGAAACTCCATCTCAAAAAAAAAATAAATGAATAAAAATAAGAATAAAAAAGAATCATACTTAAGTAAATCAGGATAGATAAGATCTCTCTGGGAAAAGTGTTTGCCCAAGAGAAGTAATTGAGCTCTTTCAGGGCACTGGTGAGACTGACAGATTGGCTTGATCAAGTGCAGAACCTGGGGGAAAAAATTGGCTTTGGCAAAGGAAATGAAATTTTAGTGAGGAGCAAATTCCTCTGTCATAGCTTCATTTTGTATAGACCAGTGCTGCCCATTGCTGTGGTTTTGGGTTATAATTGCTTTAGCTGCAGTGCTAAGAGTGGACTGCAAGAGAGAGTCACAGGAGTCAGGGACACCATACAGAAGGCAGGGGAGCTGGAGAGAAGGGACCAGTGCGAGGTATGTTTCCAAAGGAGAATTGGCAGCCTTTGAGAATGTAAGCACTTCTTAAAAACTGAAATGTCTTGGGTTCCCTCCTGCTCCCCTCTTCCCCTTTTCTTTCCCTTACTGTAATCTTTCCTGTTTCATTTTTTGACAGTCTGACTCCTTCATTCAATGTCTCTCAAGCCAACTTGGCCTGTGTGTGTTTTCTGAAATCTTTTCTTTGTATACTTTATGAGGGGCCCTGCTGTTCCATCTCTTCCTTTTTGTATGTTTACAGTGAAGCTCCTGATGTGGCTATGTTACTGGCCAGGTCTAGGTCCATTCTGCCCATGTGTGGTAAATCAATCACTGTGACACAGGTTTTGCAAAAGAGAAAAAACTTACTTGCAAGGCCACTGAGCGAGGAGGTAGGAGAACAGGTCTCAAACCGGCCTCCCCAAAGATAAGCCTTAGGGATATTTGTGGGTTAGGGAATTGGGGTGGTTTAAGGTGTGGGGAAAGGTGATTGGCAGTGGGGAAAATGCAGTAACATTCATTGCACACAAGTGTAGTCAGGGTTCATGGCATGTCATAGGACACGTGTACAGAAAATAGAGGCGTTAACATGATCCAAGGGTGGAGTTTTTGGCCCTCAGGCATCAAAAGTCCCTCTCGGGCTCCTTCACAGGCCCAGTTGAAGGGTTGGTGGTCTCTATCAGTTTGAACTGTACAGGAGCTAGCCCAGGTTTCCTGAAGAATAACTGAAGTGACCATTGCCATGGTGACCTATGAATGTTATCTACAAAGTAGCCAATGAAGGTTAAGTTTTAGTGTTCGGGCCGGGCGTGGTGGCTCCTGCCTGTAATCCTAGCACTTTGGGAGGCCAAGACAGGCGGATTACTTGAGGTCAGGAGTTTGAAACCAACCTGGCCAACATGGTGAAACTTTGTCTCTACTGAAAATACAAAGAAATTAGCCAGGCATGGTGGCAGGTGCCTGTAATTCCAGCTACTAGGGAGGCTGAAGCAGGAGAATTGTTTGAACCCGGGAGGCCGAGGTTGCAGTGAGCCGAGATCATGTGACTGTACTCCAGCCTGAGCAACAGAGAATCTGTCTCAAAAAAGTTGTAGCGTTCAGTGGTGTGGCCTTCAGCTTCAAAGAAAAAGAAACAAAAAAAAAAAGAAACAAGCAGCGACCAAAAGCAAGCAGGGCAGCTGAGCTGATCATGTTACTCCCTTGTTTTCAGCTGTAGCCTGTCCCAGCTGCAAGTGCTAGGCATTGTTCACCTCTATTTTACCTTCTTCTGAATCTTGGGCATGTCATCCTTCACTGCCTTGGTAGCTCTTCAGTGCCTTAAATAAATTTTTTTGCTCTGCTTTTTTTGTTGTTCATTGGGAGAATTGATCTAAATTGCTATTGTCAGAATTCTCTCTTTTTTGTTTAATTTATTGCATATTCTATTCTCCACTGTTAGCTTAGAAGTTATATTCTGTTTTACTCTTCCTTTACTGACTGTCCAGATAAGTTACAAATGTGAATGTGTATTTTCATTCAAATACAAATGTATATTTGTAACTTACCAGAATCTAATGTTAATTGGTTCTTTACCCTCTTCCTAGATAAGACAGAGTCCTTAGAATACTTTAGCTCTGCCCATCTCCCTCTCTTTGTGTATATTTTTAAATCTATAAAGCATTATTACTCTCATTTTATTTTATTTTATTTTTTGAGACAGAGTCTCGCTCTGTCGCTCAGGCTGCAGTGCAGTGGCACAAGGTTTTACCATGTTGGCCAGGCTGGTCTTGAACTCCTGATCTCAGGTGATCTACCCACCTCGGCCTCCCAAAGTGCTGGGATTACAGGCCTGAGCCACTGTGCCCAGCCTATTATTCTCATTTTATATAGCCAATATTTATTTAGATTTATTCACATATTTACCCTACTTACCCTTCCTTTTTCATTTGTTTTTCTTTTTTTGCCCTAACATTACAACAAATATTTACCCTTTCTGTTGCCTTTTTTCTTTCTTCTCACATCTCCAGGTTTCTATCTGTGATAATTTTCCTTCTCCTATCAGAACGTCCCAGGGTATTCTCTTTCGGGTAGGTCTGCTAGTGAGAAATTCTCTCATATTTTGTCTAATTCCATCTTCACCTTGGAAGGATATTTTCACTGGGTATGAAAGTCTGGGCTGCTGGTTTTTTCCCAGCACCTCAAAGATATTCCATCACTGTCCTATGGCTTCCATTTCTAAGCTGTTAGTCTAATTTTTGCTCTTTTGAAGATTCATTGCTTGTCTTAGTTTTCAGAAGCTTGGAATTTATTTTCTTATAATCTTTTATCTCATTTTGAGATTGTAAACAAGGTTTTTTTTTTTCTTTTTTGTGGACAAATCTTCTGGCATACTTGTGTTTATATATGTGTTATTCTGCTCCTTATCTTCTTTCCTCATATAACTTCAAATGCTTTTTTTTTTTTTTCCTGAGACCGCATCTCACCCTGTTGCCCAGGCTGGAGTGCAGTGCCATGATCTCAGCTCAGTGCAACCTCCGCCTCCTGAGTTCAAGCAATTCTTCTACCTCAGCCTTCCACATAGCTGGGACTACAGGCACCACACCCAGCTAACTTTTTTATTTTTAGTAGAGACAGGGTTTCACCTTGTTGGCCAGGCTAGTCTTGAACTCCTGACCTCAGGTGATCTGCCCAACTCAGCCTCCCAAAGTGCCGGGATTACAGGCATGAGCCACGGTGCCCGGCCTCAAATGCTTTTTTATTGCTTTTTTTTTTTTTTTTTTGAGACATAGTGTTGCTTGCTCCGTTGCCCAGGCTGGAGTGCAATGACGCGATCTCGGCTCACTGTAACCTCTGCCTTCCGGGTTCAAGCGATTCTCCTGCCTAAGCCTCCCAAATAGCTGGGATTACAGATGCGTGCTACCACACCCAGCTAGTTTTTGTATTTTTAGTAGAGACAGCATTTCACCATGTTGATCAGGCTGGTCTCGAACTCCTGACCTTGTGATCCGCCCGCCCTCAACCTCCCAAAGTGTTTGGATTACAGGCATGAGCCACCGCGCCTGACCTTTTTTTTGTTTTTTCTTTTTTTTCTTTTTGCTGAGACAGAGTCTCGCTCTGTTGCCCAGGCTGGAGTGCAGTGGCGCGATCTTGGCTCACTGCAACCTCTGCCTCCTAGATTCAAGCAATTCTACTGCCTCTCCTGCCTCTGCCTCAGCCTCCCAAGTGGCTGGGATTACAGACGTGCACCACCATGCCCGGCTAATTTTATTGCTTATTTTTATGTGAAATTAGTTTTCCTGAATTTTAGTTTTTAAATTTATATGTCTTTATATATTTTTTAGAGACGAGGTCTCGCTGTATTGCCCTGCAGTGGTGTGATCATAGCTCACTGCAGCCTTGAACTCATGGGCTCAATTAATCCTTCTGCCTCTGCCTCCCAAGTAGCTGAGACTGTAGGCACAAGCCACCACACCTGCCTTATTATACTGAACTTTTAGAGTGAGTCAAGGTTCGGTTAAGTTTTACTAATTTCATAGAACTCCTTCTTCTGTTGTTTTTGTTTAGGGTTCAAAAATATAGTGGCTTTTTTAATGGGGTATCCTGGTTTTGTTCCCTTACCACACTTGGTCTGGATTTTCTTTTTCCTTGTCTCTTTTGACCCTCTCCTGCTCAAATTTTTTTCTACCCGTGGCTGTTTCTCCTCCATATGAAGCCCTGTCCTAGAAGGGTACCCTGGCAGATGAGTTTTGAGATTCCCTAGGGGCTGGACTGCTCTAGCTGTTTCAGTTCTTATGTGAGCCCTCGTGCTGGAGAGGATAAAACTCATAGTTTCAGCTGCTGGTCTTAAATTGGGCCTCTGTACCTTCCAACAACAGCTCATTGGCTATTTTAGGGTTCTCCTGTTGTTAGGTTCCTCAGATGCTACTCGGGGATCCAAAGATTGAAAACTGTGTTGCTACCTCCACTATTTTCCTAAAATCCGTTTTATTTATTTATTTATTTTTTGAGACGAAGTTTTGCTCTTGTTGCCCAGGCTGGAGTGCGGTGGCACGATCTTGGCTCACTGCAACCGCCACCTTCTGGGCTCAAGCAATTCTCCTGCCTCCGCCTCCTGAGTAGCTGGGATTAAAGGTGCACGCCACCATGCTCTGCTAATTTTTTGTGTTTTTAGTAGAGACGGGGTTTCACCCTGTTGGCCAGAGTGGTCTCAAACTCCTGACCTCAAGTGATCCACCTGCCTTGGCCTCCCAAAATGCTGGGATTACAGGCATATGCCACCATGCCCGGCCCTAAAATCTATTTTTTACTCAATTTTATTTATCTATATTTGACCCATATTTGACTGGGAACCTCTTTTCAAATAATGCCTTCCAAGTCCTTGGGAAATGCTGATTGTATGTTAGAAGTACATTGACTCTAAGAGAAAGCCTAACAATGGCTGAAACAAATTGAGATTTGTTTTTTCTGTTTTTTGTTTTTTTTTTTAAAATTAACTTTTTTTTTACCTTTAGAGACAGGGTCTCACTATGTTTTCCAGGCTGGTCTTGAACTCCTGCACTCAAGCGATCCTCCCTGCTCTGCCTCCCAAAGTGTTAGGATTACAGGCATGAGGGGATTTACTTCTTTTTTTTTAACAAGCCACCTGGAGATTGGCAGTTACTGGTATTGCTTCAGCTGTTCAGTGATGTCGTTTTAGACTCAGGCTTCTAGTACCTTTCTAGTTCAACATCCTTAGCACATTGGCCCTTTGTCCTCATAGGTAACACTTCGTAGTTGCAAGATGACTATTCTAGCTTTACACAGGAAGGTGGGGGTAAGGGTGGCGTCAGTTTGATCTCTTTATCAGGAAAGAAAACTTCCCTGGAAGTTCCCCACTGCATTCTGCTTCTGCCTCATTGGCCAGAGCTTTGTCACCGGCCACCTTTAGCTACAGAGGAGGTTTGGAAAGAAATCTTTCTGGCCTCTGTAGTGGATACTTACGAGAAAAAGGGCTTGGCAGTGGGTGTTGGGTTAGCCAGTGACTGCTAGCTAACCTGCTACATTGCTTTAAAACATTCGCATTATGCTGTTTTTCATGTCTTCGCTCTTCAGTGGTAGGCGGGTGTAGAGGAAAGAATACTGGACTAGAATTAAGGAGACCTGAGCTTCGGTTCTAACCCAGGCCCTAGCTAATTGTTTGATCTGAGGATAGTTACGCCTGTAGGCCTCAGTTTTGCAAATTACAAAATGATAGAGTGAGAATATTTGTTTTCTAAGCAGCTACCAGAATTAGAATTCTGATACTGTGTTTCCATTGACTTAGAAATTTGTGAAGGGATAGTTATTTTCTAATATCTATATATCAATATCAAATATCAATCTGTTAAAATCAAGTAGGTTCTTTGTTACTTGGGGGAACATTGGGCATCCTGATCTTTGTTTTTAGGCTTTTTCCATACTGAGTTATTTATTTCTCAATTTTAGGAGTGTTAGGCGGGAATAATATCATACCACAAACTACAGAATAATGCCTTTATGTGCTTAGATAATGTTTTAGCTTTGTTTTTTGTTTGTTTGTTTGTTTTTGAGACCGAGTTTCACTCTTGTTGCCCAGGCTGGAGTGCAGTGACGCGATCTTGGCTCACTGCAACTTTCGCTTCCCGGGTTCAAGCAATTCTCCTGCCTCAGCCTGCCAAGTAGCTGGGACCACAGGCATGCGCCACCATGGCCGGCTATTTTTTGTATTTTTAGTAGAGACGGGGTTTCACCATGTTGGTCTCGAACTCCTAACCTCAGATGATCCACCCACCTCAGCCTCCCAAAGTGCTGGGATTACAGGCATGGGCCACTGCACCCAGCCTTAACCTTTTTTTTTTTTTTTTAAGTACAATTTCCATTTTATTTTTCTCTGGAGAATAATTTTTCTTCAGTCCTTAAGGACACAGTTTCTTAACGGGTTTTAGTGGGAGTCATGGGGCAACGCCTGCAGGTCGAAATGGAGGTGTGGGTATTCAGTCCTAGCAGCCTTCATGAGATTGATTTCTAACTACTTTGCTGTGAATGGCACAACTCACATATTAAGGTAGCTTCATATATGGCTTGGGTAGCACCTAGGCATCAAAGATCCTCACTTCAGAAATGTCCCTGACTGCTGCAGCCTCTACTGTGTTTCAAATGATGAATTTCTCCTGTTTTTGTTAAAGTCACTACATTTGCTAAAATCAATGATGAATTCCTAAACTTTCTTTAACTTGACCTACCAGGTAGCATTAGAGAGTCCATCATTTCCTTCTTCTAGAATACCTTTCTTCTCCCAGGTTCTAGTTACCATCCTCTTGTGTTTTTTCTCCTACCTGTTTGACTGCCCCTTCTAACTCTCCTTTGTTGATTCTTCCTCATCTGAATATCCCAACACCTAGTCTTTGCACTGCTTCTCTAGCTGCCTCACAACCAAAATCTCATTAAATCTCACAGTGATTCTCAGATGTGTATGCCCAGCCAAGACCTCTGCCTTGAAACTCTGGACTTTTACGTACGTGACAACTCCACTGGGTGTCACACCATAGTATGCCCGAAACTGAAATCGTCATCCTCCCCCTCTCAGTGAGTGGAAACTCCATCCTTCCAAGTGCTCAGGTCAGAAATGGTGAAGTCATCCTTCACACCTCTTGTTCTTTCACACCCCAATTTAAAATGCCATATGCCAAAATCATGTTGCTTCAACCTTCAAAATGCATTCAGAATCCAGCCACTTTTCAGACCTCCAGTAGCTACCACCCAGTCCAAGCCATCAGCATCTCTCCCCCGAGTGACTCCAATGGCCCCTCATTGGTCTCCTGCTTCCTGTCTTGCCCCTAGTCAGTATCTTCTCAGGAGGTAGTCTGAGTAAATCAAGTCACATCATTCTGTCAAACTTCCAGTGGCTTCCTGCTGAAAGTAAAAGCCCAGAGTCCTTACTGTGGTCTATAAGACCAACCAACTTTTTGTGTCACCTATTGAGTTTGTTTTTCATTTCTGCTGTCATATTTTTAATTTCCGAGAGCTTGTTCTTGTTCTCTGCATGTTCCCTTTTTAATTTCCAAAAGCTTCTTTTGTTCTCTGCATGTTTCCTTTCTTTTTAATAGTATCCTGGAGGCTCAAAATTTTTTGAGGATAATGTGGTTTAAGATTTTTATCTGCTTACACTGTGTTTCTTCTAAGATCCTTTTTTCTTTGTATTTTTGGTCACTCTGTCATGTTGGAGCCTTTCCTCAAATGTCAAGAGATTCTTTATTGTCTGTTTATATTTAAGAGCAGGACCCTAAAAAGCTTATTTTAGAAGCCTTTTTTTTTTGAGACAGGGTCTCACTCTTGCCTAGGCTAGAGTGCAATGGCATAATCTCAGCCCACTGCAACCTCTGCCTCCTGGGTTCAAGTGATTCTCCTGCCTCAGCCTCCAGAGTAGCTGGGATTACAGGCATGCACCACCACGCCTGGCTACTTTTTGAATTTTTAGTAGAGATGGGGTTTCACCACGTTGGTCAGGCTGGTCTCAAACTCCTGACTTCAGGTGATCTGCCTTACCTCGGCCTCCCAAAGTGCTGGGATTACAGGTGTGAGCCACCACACCCAGCCAGAAGCTTTTATATGTAAGCATGAAGACTTATAACTTGAAGGCTTCACTGTAGGCTTTTGGGGCAGATTTCACCAGGGAATCTAGCTGTCTGTGTCTCTGAAGGCCTTTCCCCTTAGGTTGATCAGTTTTCCCCAGACAAAAGAGATACCCTCTAACTCCTTCTGGCACGGGGTGGGGGGGTGGGATTGAGATGAAGGTGGTAATTTTTTAATTTTTTAATTTGTTATTTATTTATATTTTATTTTATTTTATTTATTTATTTATTTTTATTTTATTTTATTTTTGAGACAGAGTCTTACTCTGTCACCCAGGCTAGAGTGCAGTGGCGCAATTGACTCACTGTAACCTCCACCTCCCAGGTTCAAGCAATTCTTCTGCCTCAGCCTCCTGAGTAGCTGAGATCACAGGTGCCCACCACCATGCCTGGCTGATTTTTGTGTTACTAGTAAAGACGGGGTTTCACCCTCTTGGCCAGGCTGGTATTGAACTCCTGACCTTGTGATCCACCCACCTTGACCTCCCAAAGTGCTGGGATTACAGGCGTGAGCCACCGCGCCCAGCCTACATTTTTTTTTTTTTTTTAAACAGAGTTTTACTCTGTTACCCAGGCTGGAGTGCAATGGCATGATCTCGGCTCACTGCAACCGCCACCTCTCAGGTTCATGCGAGTTGCCTGCTTCAGCCTCCCAAGTAGCTGAGACCATAGGCATGCGCCACCACGCCTGGCTAATTTTTGTATTTTTAGTAGAGATGGGGGTCTCGCCATGTTGGCCAGGCCGGTCTCGGACTGCCCTCAAGTGATCCACCCACCTTGGCCTCCCAAAGTGCTGGGATTATAGACATGACACTGCATCCAGCTGAAGGTGTTAATTATAAGCTTGGCTGCAAGCAGGGAAAGGGATGGTGGGTGTCATTGTTCAGTTTGTAGACTTTTGGTCTAGGACCATCTCCCAAGCTTTGCCTAGTATTCTGGAGTCCAGTTCTCCTCTGGCTCGCCTCTCCGGAGATATACCTGAGTCTTTGCTTGAGTGAATATGAGTGAATAATGGGATCCAGGGGCCTAACCACTTCTGACACATAGGCTTGCAAACAGTCCTGTGTTTTCATCTCAGTCCACAGCTCCTCGCCTCCTGATGCGTCTCATTTCCACCCCTTTCTGGGGCCTGTGCCACCAGCTGGGTGCTTCTTGTCTCCCTTCTCCCCCTACAAGAAGACACTTAGTTCTCTCCTTTATCTGGTGATTCATCTGCCACTCTCTTGCCTAAAATTGACTAAAATTTGTTGACGGCTCTTGTCTGTCACCCTTTCTCCTATTCTCTTGGTCTTTTTAGGCTTACACCTTTTTGAATACATTTGCTGTTATTTAATGCGGCGTGGGGAATGGAAGGAGGTAAATGGTTATGTTCATTTCACCATGTGCAAACGGTTCCTTTTTATTACAATTTTTTAGAATTGTAGGCCAGGCGTGGTTGCTTGCGCCTGTAATCCCAGCACTTTGGGAGGCCGTGGAAGTGGATCACAAGGTCAAGAGTTCAAGACCAGCCTGGCCAACATAGTGAAACCCCGTTTGTACTAAAAATACAAAAATTAGCCAGGTGTGCCTGTAATTCCAGTTACTCAGGAGGCTGAGGCAGGAGAATTGCTTGAACTCAGGAGGCAGAGGTTGCAGTGAGCCGAGGTGGTGCCACTGCACTCCAGCCTAGGTAACAGAACAAGACTCCATCTCAAAAAAAAAAAAAAAAAAAAGAATTGTGAATAAATCTGTTCAACAGTCTTTCAAATATTATAGAAATGTACAGTTTAGGCTGGGCATAGTGGCTCACGCCTGTAATCCCAGCACTTTGGGAGGCCGAGGTGGGCGGATCACGAGGTCAGGAGATCAAGACCATCCTGGCTAACATGGTGAAACCCCGTCTCTACTAAAAATACAAAAATTAGCTGGGCATGGTGGTGGGTACCTGTAGTCCCAGCTACTCCGGAGGCTGAGGAAGGAGACTGGCGTGAACCTGGGAGGCGGAGCTTGCAGTGAGCCGAGATCACACCACTGCACTCCAGCCTGGGTGACAGAGTGAGACCCCGTCTTTAAAAAAAAAAAAAAAAAAAGAAATGTACAGTTTAGGAGCCAGTCTCCTATAATCTCTCCCCCACCCCCCGAGAGAGAACCACTGGCATTAGTTTGATATTCTGGAGTCTTTTCAGGCTTTTAATGTGTATGATGTAATCATTTATGTATGCATACACACATGCTTGTTTATATGTACACAAATGTGTGTGTGTGTGTATATTTGATGTATTCCAACATATGGGTGCTATAAATACATAAAAATAGGCCGGGCATGGTGGCACATACCTGTAATCCCAGCACTTTGGGAGGCCACGGCAGGCGGATCACCTGAGGTCAGGAGTTCAAGCCCAGCCTGGCCAACATGGTGAAACCCCATCTCTACTAAAAATACAAAAATTAGCTGGGCATGGTGGTGTATGTCTGTAATCCCAGCTACATGGGAGGCTTAGGAAGGAGAACCGCTTGAACCCGGGAGGCGGAGGTTGCAGTGAACTGAGATCGTGCCATTGCACTCTAGACTGGACGACAAGAGGGAAACTCTGTCTCAAAAATATATATATAAATACTATTATTTATTTATTTATTTATTCATTCTTTGAGACAGAGTCTCACTATATCATCCAGGCTGGAGTGCAGTGGCCTGATCTCAGCTCACTCCAACCTCCACCTCCTGGGTTCAAGCAATTCTTGTGCCTCAGCCTCCCAAGTAGCTGGGACTACAGGCATGCACCACAACGCCCAGCTAATTTTTGTATTTTTGGTAGAGATGGGGTTTCGCCACGTTGGCCAGGCTGGTCTCAAACTCCTGAGCTCAAGGGATCTGCCCACCTTGGCCTCCCAAAGTGCTGGGATTACACGTGTGAGCCACTGTGCCTGACTTAATTTTTTTTTTCTTTTTTTTTTTTTTGAGACGGAGTCTCACTCTGTCTCCCAGGCTGGAGTGCAGTGGCGCATCTCGGCTCACTGCAAGCTCCGCCTCCCAGGTTCACGCCATTCTCCTGCCTCAGCCTCCTGAGTAGTTGGGACTACAGGTGCCCGCCACCACACCTGGCTAATTTTTTGCATTTTTAATAGAGATGGGGTTTCACCGTGTTAGCCAGGATGGTCTCGATCTCCTGACCTCATGATCCACCCGCCTTGGCCTCCCAAAGTGCTGGGATTACAGGCGTGACCTAATTTTTTTAAAAAGATACCATATTATACATACCACGCAGTGACTTTATTTTTTCACCTAATCACTTTCTGAGGCATCTGTCCCTTCAGTACCCTTAGCTCTGCTTCATTCATAGAAAATGAGCACATGGCATTGATTAATTGTATTAACCTGTCCTCTTTTGATGGGTATTTGTGGTGGTTCACTCTTCTCTTATTATTATTATAAGCAATAGTGAGGTGAATTACCTTATGTATGTCTTTGTAAGCTAGTTTTTAAAAACCGTGAGTGGAATTGAGCATGGTGGCTCATGCCTATAATCCCAGCACTTTGGGAGGCTGAGGCCAGTGGACCACCCGAGCTCAGGAGTTCGAGACCAGCCTGGCCATCGTGGCAAAACCCCATCTTTACTAAAAGTACAAAAATTAGCTGGGCATGGTGGCACACGCCTGTAGTCCCAGCTACTCTGGAGGCTGAGGCAGGAGAATCCTTTGAACCTAGGAGGCGGAGCTTGCAGTGAGCCAAGATCGCGCCACTGCACTCCAGCCTGGGCGACAAAGCGAGACTCCATCTCAAAAAAAAAAAAAAAAGAAAAAAAACTATGAGTGGGTTAGGAGGAGTGACATGTTAGTAACCTGCAGAACCATGAAAAGAAATTTAAAGTGATTGACAGGCCAGTGTGGTGGCTCATGCTTGTAATCCCAGCACTTTGGGAGGCCAAGGTCAGCAGATTGTCTGAGCTCAGGAGTGCAAGACCAGCATGGGCAACATGGCGAAAACCCGTCTCTACTGAAATACAAAAAATTAGCTCGTTTGGGTGGCGTGTGCCTGGAGTCACAGCTACTCAAGAGACTGAGGCACGAGAATAACTTGAATGCATGAGGTGGAGATTACAGTGAGCAGAGATCATGCCACTGCACTCCAGCTTGGGTGATATAGCAAGACTGTCTCAAAAAAATTTTTAAAAAATCAGCACCATCTGTCACTGCTTTTCTGTGTTCCTTATTACCTTTTTCCTGACTAATTTCTCTTACTCATCTTTTGCTGTTGTTATGACTCCCCTCTTCAGATTTCAGCTAAATTAATATCCTGTGTTCCTGTTAAGTACTAGGAATATTATTAGGCATTTACTTATTTTATAAGTTTAATTTCCTATGTTTGTAAATAAGACATTACTACTTTTTAGTAATAAAAATATTTTTCATTCTGGTGAATGAAAAAAATTAAAAATAATAATTTTCAATTCACTTCATGGTGTTTGAAAAGTCAGATTTTGGGAGACCAAGGGAGGAGGATCACCTGAGCTCAGGAGTTCAAGACTAGCTAGGGTAACATAGTGAAACCGTGCCTCTACAAAAAATAAAAAATTAGCCAGGCATAGTAGTGGAGCATGTCTGTAGTCACAGCTATTTGGGAGGCTGAGGTGGAAGGATCACTTGAGCCTGGGATGTTAAGGCTGCAGTGAGCCATGACTGTACCACTGCATTCCAGCCTGGGCAACAGAGCGAGACCCTGTCTCCAAAAAAAAGTCAGATTTTTATTTTACTTTAACATCTTTAATCGGTAAAATCAATATTAAAAAATTTTTAACCTCATTTCTAGTTTAAGTAGCTCTGAGATTCTGACCTGAAAAAGCCAAATATATCTATTTTCCCTCTTTTTAAGTTTTTTTGATTGTTTAAGAGACAAGGTCTTGCTCTGTTGCACAGACCAGAGTGCAGTGACACATTCACGGCTCACTACAGCCTTGACCTCTGGGGCTCAAGCGATCCTCCCACGTAAGCCTCTGGAATAGCTGACACCACAGGTGCGTGCCTCCATACTTGGCTAACTAAAAAAATTTAGGGGGGGCTGGATGTGGTGATTCAGGCATATAATCCCAGCATTTTGGGAGGCCGAGGCAGGCAGATCACCTGAGGTCAGGAGTTTGAGACCAGCCTGACCAACATGGAGAAACCCCATCTCTACTAAAATTACAAAATTAGCTGGGCGTGATGGCACATGCCTGTAATCCCGCTACTCAGGAGGCTGAGTCAGGGAAATCGCTTGAAGCCGGGAGGCAGAGGTTGCGATGAACCGAGATCACACCATTGCTCTCCAACCTGGGCAACAAGAGCAAAACTCCGTCTCAAAAAAAAAAGAAAAAAAAAATTTGTAGAGCTGGGTACAGTGGCTCATGTCTGTAATCCCAGCATTTTGGGAGGCTCAGGTGAGGATTACTTGAGCCCAAGGGTTTGAGAACAGCTTGGGTAATACAGTAAGACATTGTCACACATTTTTTTTTCTTATTTTTTGGGTAGAGATGGAGTTTTTAATTTAATTTAATTTAATTTAATTTAATTTAATTTAATTTTATTTTATTTTGAGACGAAGTCTCACTTTGTTGCCCATGTTGGAGTGCAGTGGCTCGATCTCGGCTCACCACAACCTCTGCCCCCTGGTTCAAGCGATTCTCCTGTCTCAGCCTCCCAAGTAGCTGGGACTACTGGCGTGCACCACCATGCCTGGCTAATTTTTGTATTTTTAGTAGAGATCGGGTTTTACTATGCTGGCCAGGCTGGTCTCGAACTCCTGACCTTGTGATCCACCTGCCTCGGCCTCCCAAAGTGCTGGGATTGCAGGTGTGAGCCACCGTGTCCAGCTTTTTTTTTTTTTTTTTTTTTTTTAATGTATTTGAGACAGGCTCTTACTCTTTCGCCCAGGCTGGAGTACAGTGGTGCAATCTCAGTTCACTGGAACCTCTCCCTCCTGGGCTCAAGCGATCCTCCCACCTCAGCCTCCCAGGTAGCTGGGACTACAAGAGCATGCCCCCGCTATGCCTGGCTAATTTTTTATTTTTTGTAGAGATTGGGTTCCACCATGTCACCCAACCTGGTCCTGAACTCCAGCAGTCCAACTACCTCAGCCTCCCAAGGTGCTGGCATTACAGGCATAAGCCACCACATCCAGCCCTAGATGGAGTCTTGCTATGTTGCCCAGGTTGGTCTTGAACTCCTGGCCTCATGCAGTCCTCCTACCTTGACCTCTGAAAGTGTTGGTATTACAGGCATGAGCCACCATGCCTGGCCTCTATTTTTAATCTATCTTGGTGTTTACTTTTTCTTTTTTTTCTTTGAGAGGGAGTCTTGCTCTGTCATCAGGCTGGAGTGCAGTGGTGCAGTCTCAGCTCACTGCAACCTCTGCCTCCCGGGTTCAAGCAATTCTCCTGCCTCAGCCTCCTGAGTAGCTGGGACTACAGGTGCGTGCCACCATGCCCAGGTAATTTTTGCATTTTTAGTAGAGATGCGGTTTCACCATGTTGGCCAGGATCTCTTGACCTTGTGATCCACCCGCCTTGGCCTCCCAAAGTACTGGGATTACAGGTGTGAGGCACTGCGCCCGACCGATGTTTACTTTTTTTTTTTTTTTTTTTTAGTAGAGACGGGGTTTCACCATGTTAGCCAGGATGGTCTCGATCTCCTGACCTTGTGATCCACCCGCCTCAGCCTCCCAAAGTGCTGGGATTACAGGTGTGAGCCACCACGCCCGGCTGTACTTTTTCATGAGACGGCAAGAATATGTGATTTGGGAAGAGATGTTAGCTCCAACATCATCATATATATATATGATTTTTTTTTTGCCGTAGATTTTACTATGAGCAGCGATTACTACGGAAGGTCTTCGAAGAATGGAAAGAGGAGTGGTGGGTTTTCCAGCACGAGTGGAAACTCTGTGTTCGAGCTGACTGTCACTACAGGTCAGGTTTCATGTTACACTCCTTCAGTTTTACTGATGCACATTATCAGATGATTATTTGTTGGCGTGTTTATGGTCAAAAGAAGCAAACTTTGGGTCACTTTTGGTTTTTCTTCAAATCCTTTTTGGAGTTAGCAAGATCAGAGTTCCAAATTAAACCCAAGCATGCATGCACATGCTGGGCACGTGCACACAGACACACACACACACCTCCCACACCTCTAATTCAGGTAACCATTATGTATTGGTTATGCTAATACTTTGAATGGGATTTTCCCACCGATTTTCATTTCTATATAATTTCTCATTCTGAAAGTATTCTGGGTTTTTTGTTTGTTTGTTTGTTTTGTTTTGTTTTGAGACAGAGTCTCACTCTGTTGCCCAAGCTGGAGTGCAGTGGCACGATCTTGGCTCACTGCAACTTCCGTCTCCTAGGTTCAAGCGATTCTACTGCCTCAGTCTCCCAAGTAATTGGGATTACAGGCATGTGCCATCACGCCTGGCTAATTTTTGTAGTTTTAGTAGAGACAGGGTTATTTCATGTTGGCTGGGCTGGTCTTGAACTCCTGACTTCAGGTGATCCGCCTGCCTTGGCCTCCCGAAGTGCTGGGATTACAGGCATGAGTCACCGCGCCAGGCCTGTTTTTTTTGTTTTTTTTTGTTTTTGAGATGGAATTTCGCTCTTGTTGCCCAGGCTGGAGTGCAATGGCGCCATCTTGACTCACTGCAACCTCCGCCGCCTGGGTTCAAGTGATTCTCCTGCCTGAGCCTCCCTAGTAGCTGGGATTACAGGCATGTGCCACCACGCCTGTAATGGCGTGTAATGATGAGGTTTCTCCATGTTGGTCAGTCTGGTCTCAATCTCCTGACCTCAGGTGATCCTGCCACCTTGGCCTCCCAAAGTGCTGGGATTACAGGCATGAACCACCACACCCGGCCTTGTTTTAAAAATAATAAATTGTGGCCGGGCATGGTGGCTCATGCCTGTAATCCCAGCACTTTGGGAGGCCGAGATGGGCGGATCACGAGGTCAGGAGATCGAGACCATCCTGGCTAACATGGTGAAACCCCGTCTCTACTAAAAAATACAAAAAACAAAATTGGCTAGGCGTGGTGGCAGGCGCCTGTAGTTCCAGCTACTCGGGAGGCTGAGGCAGGAGAATGGCGTGAACCCAGGAGGTGGAGCTTGCAGTGAGCCAAGACTGCGCCACTGCACTCCAGCCTGGGCAACAGTGGAGCGAGACTCCATCTCAGAAAATAAGTAAATAAATAAATTGTTTTAATTTACATTGATTATGGGAGAAAATATATGGGGAAGGCCGAGTGTGGTGGCTCACTCCTATAATCCCAGTACTTTGGGAGGCTGAGGCGGGTGGATCACTTGACGTTAGGAGTTCCAGACCAGCCTGGCCAACATTGGTGAAACCTTGTCTCTATTAAAAAACAAAACAAAACAAAACAAAAATTCCAGCCTGTACAACACAGAGAAACCCCATCTCAACTAAAATACAAAAAAAAAAAAATTAGCCGGGCATGGCGGCATGCGCCTGTAGTACCAGCTACTCGGAAGGTTGAGACAGGAAAATTAATTGAACCCAGGAGGCGGAGACTGCAGTGAGTCGAGATCGCACCACTGTACTCCAGCCTGGGCAACAAAGCAAGACTCCGTCTCCAAAAAAAAAAAAAAAATTAGCTGGGCATGGTGGCATGTGCCTGTAGTCCCAGCCACTCGGGAGGCTGAGGCAGAAGAATTGCTTGAACCCAGGAGTCGGAGGTTGCAGTGGGCCAAGATCATGCCACTGCACTCCAGTCTGGACGACAGAGTGAGACTCTGTCTCAAAAAAAAAAAAATTCTTTTTTAAATGAATGTTAATAAAATATTTAAAACTAGGAAAATATGAAGAGATGAAGGTCTTAAGATGTATAGTGTATGTATCAAGAAGAAGGAAAAGGTGTCAATGAGCATATTGTAGTGCAAACGAGAAGTGATGTTTTTTACAGTGTGGATAGTTAAGATAATTAGGATGTGACTGTCGGCCAGGCATGGTAGCTCACACCTGTAATCCTAGCACTTTGGGAGGCCAGGGCAAGAGGATCACTTGAGCCCAGGAGTTCGAGACCAGCCTAGGGAACATGGCAAAATCCCCCTCTACAAAAAAATACAAAAATTAGCCAGGAGTGGTGGTGCGTTCCTGTAGTCCCAGCTACTCTGAGGCCAAGGTGGGAGGAGTACCTGAGCCCAGGGAGGGCTCAAGGCTACAGTGAGCCATGTTCACATTACTGTACTCCAGCCTAGGTGACAGAGTGAGACCCTGTGTAAAAAAAAAAAAAAAAAAAAAAAAAAAGACAAGATTGTCATTCCAAACATCATGGATTTTTTTTTTTTTAATTGAATTTGAGACAGAGTCTCGGTGTCACCCGGGCTGGAGTGCAGTGGAACAATCTTGGCTCACTGCAACCACTGCCTCCCAGGTTCAAGCCATTCTCCTGCCTCAGCCTCCCTCCTGCCTCAGCCTCCTGAGTAGCTGAGACTACAGGCACATGCTACTACGAGTGGCTAATTTTTATATTTTTAGTAAAGACGGGGTTTCACCATATTGACCAGGCTGGTCTCGAACTCCCAACCTCAGGTGGTCTGCCTGCCTCAGCCTCCCAGAGTGCTGAGATTACAGGCGTGAGCTACTGTGCCTGGCCCAAACATCATGAATTTGTGGATGATGAAAGTGAACTTATTCTTGGAGAAGTCAAGCCTTTTCTTCCTCAGTGACACTTTAAGGTATAGAGAATGACTCTTCTTCAAAGAGAATAGAGTTCATTGTGATTGTAGGAAATGAAATTTTAGCTTTGGTGCAGATATGGCTTTTTTTTTTTTTTAATCAGAAGCGTCCCTGTTCATTTCTTCTGAGTATAGAACAGACTTGGTGTGTTGGGTTAGGAGTTGTTTTGTTGTTGTTGTTTGTTTGTTTGTTTGTTTCTTGAGACAGAGTCTTGCTCTGTTGTCCAGGCTGGAGTGCAGTGGCATGCGATCTCGGCTCACTGCAACCTCCACCTCCTGGGTTCAAGTGATTCTCCTGCCTCAGCCTCCGGAGTAGGTGGGATTATAGACGTGTGCCACCACACCCGGCACACGGTATTTTTAGTTGAGATGGGGTTTCACCATATCGGCCAGGCTGGTCTTGAACTCCTTGCCTTGGCCTCCCAAAGTGCTAGGGTTACAGGTGTGAGCCACCGCGCCCGGCCTGTTATTTTGAAGAAATGCCATTTACTTTTTTTGGCTCCTCAGGTATTACCTGTACAACCTGATGTTCCAGACGTGGAAGACCTATGTGCGTCAGCAGCAGGAGATGAGGAACAAGTACATTAGAGCCGAGGTTCATGGTGAGAAAAAGAAGTCCATGTCTGAAGAAGATGCCCACATTTACTTTGCAGAAGGTCATAGGAAGGACAAACACATTGTCTCAGAGAGAGAGGAACTCTAGGCCAAAGGAAGATTTGTTTGATTCTCTTTCATATTTTTCAGAAAGTGTGATCTCTGAGTGGGCACCTGTATGATTGATCCCTATGGTTTTCTCCATATGGCATGGTTTGAGCCCTTAAAACTCATTTAATCAGAATTTGTGTGAACTGGCTGTTCCTGGCCTGCTGGTTCAGTGGGCTGGCTGTGACTCTCCTGTGGCACCTGGGGCTGCCATCTATCTTGCTGCGTCAAGTTGCCCAGAGACTCTGGAGCAGAGCTGCAGTGCTCTTTTCTGATCTGCTTTGCTCAAGTTGTCCCTTAGTGATACTGTGGCCACTTTAGGTCTGGTCAGAGTCTGGTTTCTCTTGTGAATTGAGCCCAGAAACACATGGAGAGTCTAAGGGAAAAAGACCTAGAGTTTCAAAATGATAATACAGGCTGCATTAGCAGCAGAATGTCCTAAAGGTAGCTCAAACTCTGCAAGTCACAAGTACAACCTGTCAACTCCCCTACCACTTACACCTGCTGTTCCTTTGACTCTTCTGTCTAGGAAGACTTACTTAGGAATGGTGTCCATTCCTCATGCCTCATGTCATCACTTACCTAATCTTTTAAGAAGGCCCTCTGAGGCATCACTTGCAATCATCGTTGCATTGCTACTGCCTGAGAGTAATCCTCATCTTTTTCCCAGAGTGTTGTAAGTGCCACTTCATTAATCTCCCTCATTTATTTTTTCGTGCTTCTCATTGTACACATAGCTGCAAGAGTGGTAAGACATAGATAAGATCATGACACTCCTTTACGTAAAGTTAACCCTGCTTGGTATGTCGTACAAGGTCTTCATTTCTTCTGCTTTGCACCCTCTGCCCTTGACACACTGGATGTGCACTTCTTTATCTTTCCATCTTTGTCCCTGTAGTTCTTCCTTCAGGCCCATTTAAATGTGTAGCTTTCCTTGATCTCCCCCAGCCCAGTGATCTTTCCCCTGTCTGTATTCCCAAAGTATGAGAAGCTCTTACCCAAGCCTCATGATTACTGCACCAAATGCACTGTTTCACTGGTAAGTAACTTACGCTGTTTGTTGTTTATTTTTTTAATACATACAGTAAGATTCATTCTTTTTGAAGTTCAGTTCTAAGACTTTGATACACACTACCACATACAGCTAAATTTTTGTATTTTTGGTAGAGATGGGCTTTTGCCATGTTGCCCAGGCTGGTTTCAAACTCCTGGACTAAAGCAATCCACCTGCCTCGCTCTCCCAAAGTGCTGGCAATACAGGTGTGAGCCACTGTGCCTGGCCTTAAGTTTAATTCTATAAGAAACTGGCAAGGTTTTTTATCATGGCTGTGCCATTTTGCATTCCCACCAGTAATTCACGAGAGTTCTACTTGCTCTGCATCCTCTTGACCTCTTTGTATTGTCATTAAAATTTTTTCTTTGGCCATACTAATAGGTGTATACAGGCATTTAATTGTGGGTTTTTAAAAATTGGTGTTACATGAGTATACTGCATAATGATGGAGATTTGACTGTCCACTACCCAAATAGTGAACGTTGTACATGATAGGTAATTTTTCAACCCTTGGGCCTCTTCCACCCTCCCTTCCCCTCGTTTGGAGTCCCCAGTGTCTATTATCTCCACCTTTATGTCTGTGTGTACCAACAGTTTAGCTCCCGCTTATAAGTGAGAATATGTGGTATTTGATTTTCTGTTTCTGAGTTAGTTCACTTAGGATAATGGCCTCCAGCTCCATCCATGTTGGTGCAAAGGACATGATTTCATTCTTTTTTATGGCTGGGTGGTATTCCATGGTGTGTATTTTCTTTCTTTTTTTTTTATTTGAGACTGTCTCACTCTGTCACCCAGGCTGGAGTGCAGTGGTGTGATCTCGGCTCACTGCAGCCTCCACCTCCTGGGTTCAAGTGTTGCTTCTGCCTCAGCCTCTCAAGTACCTGGGACTACAGGCGTGTGCCACCATGCCCAACTAATTTTTGTATTTTTAGTAGAGACAAGGTTTCACTATATTGGCCAGGCTGGTCTCAAACTCCTGACCTCAGTGATCTGCCTGCCTCGGCCTCCCAAAGTACTGAGATTGCAGGCATGAGCCACCACGCCCGGCTGTGGTGTATATTTTCTGTATCTGTTGATGGATGCTGAGGTTGATTCCATGACTTTGCTGTTGAGAATAGTGCTGCAGTGAACATATGAGAGCAGGTGTCTTTTTAATATAATAATTTCTCTTCGTTTGGGTAGATTCCCGCTAGTGGGATTGCTGGGTCGAATGGTGGTTCTGTTTTTAGTTCTTTGAGAAATCTCCATACTGTTTTCCATAGAGGTTCAACTAATTTATATTCCCACCACCAGTGTGTTAAGTGTTCCCTTTCTCCACGTGCATGCCAACATCTGTTATTAAACTTTTTTTTTTTAAAGACAGGGGATGTCTTGCTGTGTCACCCAGGCTGGAGTGCAGTGGCTTGGTCATAGCTCACTGCAGCCTTGACTTCCTGGGCCAAGTAATCCTCCCACCTCAGACTCCTGAGTAGCTGGGACCGTAGGCATGTGCTACCACACCTGGCTAACTTTTTATATGTTATGGAGACAGGGTCTGGCTATGTTGCCCAAGCTGGTCTTGGACCCCTGGGCTCCAGTGATTCTCCTTCCTCAGCCTCCAAAAGTGCTAGGATTACAAGCATAAGCCACTGCACCCAGCCTAACTTTTTAATAACAGTCGTTCTGACTAGTGTAAGATGATATCTCATTGTGGTTTTAGTTTGCATTTCTCTGATAATTAGTGATGTTGAGTATCTTTTCCTGTGCTTATTTGCTATTTATATCTGTTTGGTGAAGTATCTGTTCATGATCTTTTGTCCTTTTAAATTGGGTTGTTTGTGTTCTTTTTGAGATTTGAAAGTTTTTTGTTTGTTTGGTTGGTTTGGTTTTTTTTGACACGGAATCTCACTCTTGCCCAGGCTGGAGTGCAGTGGCGCAATCTCGGCTCACTGCAACCTCGACCTCCCGGGTTTAAGTGATTCTCCCACCTTAGCCTCCCGAGTAGCTGGGACTACATGGTGCGCTACCATGCCCAGCTAATTTTTGTATTTTTTTTTTTTTTTTTTTTTTCAGTAGAGACAGGGTTTCACCATGTTAGCCAGGGTGATCTGGAACTCCTGACCTCAGGGGATCCACCTGCCTCGGCCTCCCAAAGTGCTGGGACCACAGGGGTGAGCCACCAAGCCCAGCTGGTTTTTTAAAATATGTATTCTGTTATAAGCATTTTGTCAAAGCATGATTTGCTATGTTTTCTCCTAGTCTGTGACTTGTCTTTTCATTCTCTTAACAGTATCTTTTGCAGAGGAAAAGTTTTTAATTTTGATGAAGTCCATTCTATTTTTTTTTAATGGATTATGTTTTTTTTTTTTTTTTTTTTTTTTTTTTTTGCGAGAGTCCCACTGTTGCCCAGGTTGGAGTGCAGTGGTGTGAGGATAACCCATTGCAGCCTGGAACTCCTAGGCTCTGACCTCAGCCTCCCAAGTAGCTGGGACTACAGACAATGCCCCACCATACCTGGCTAAGTTTTTTATATTTTACAGAGATGGGGGTCTTGCTTTGTTGCCCAGGCTGGTCTGAAACTCCTGGCCTCAAGCAGTTCTCCCACTTCGGCTTCCCAAAGCCCTGGGATTACAGTCATGAGCCACTGTGCCCAGCTGGATTATATTTTTTCATATCCTATCTTAGATGTCATCTCTAAGAACTTTGCCTTAACCCAGGGTCACAAAGATTTCCTCTTATGTTTTCTCCTAAACATTCTGTAGTTTTACATATGGATCTTGTATATCCTGCATCCTTGCTAAGTTAATTTATTATTTCTTTTTCTTTTTTCTTTTTTTTAAATTTTGAGATGGAGTCTCGCTCTATTGCCCAGGCTGGAGTGCAGTGGCACGATCTCGGCTCACCGCAAGCTCCACCTCCCGGATTCACGCCATTCTCCTACCTCAGCCTCCCAATTAGCTGGGACTACAGGTGCCCACCACCCCGCCCGGCTAATTTTTTGTATTTTTAATAGAGACGGGATTTCACAGTGTTAGCCAGGATGGTCTTGATCTCCTGACCTCGTGATCCGCCCACCTCGGCCTCCCAAAGTGCTGGGATTACAGGCTTGAGCCACTGCGCCCAGCCTTTTTTTTTTTTTTTCAGATGGAGCCTCACTTTGTCACCCAGGATGGAGTGCAGAGTGGCGTGATCTCGGCTCACTGCAGCCTCTGCCTCCTGGGTTCAAGCAATTATCTTGCCTCAGACTACTGAGTAGCTGGGAGTAAAGGTACCTGCCACCACGCCCGGCTAATTTTTTTTTTGTATTTTTAGTAGAGACATTTACTGCTATAAAGTTCTCTTAAACACTAACTATATTACACGAATTTTAATAAGTTATATTTCTGTTTTCATTCAGTAAAAACTTGTTTTCTGATTTTCCCTGAGACCTCATCTTTGCCCCACAGATTATTTAGAAGTGTGTTTAGTTTTCTAATATTTGGGAGTTTCCCAATATCTTTCTGTTAAGGATTTCTAGTTTATTCTATTATTGTCAGAGAACAAGACTTAGTATGATTTCAGTTCCTTTATTTTTGTTAAGGTTTGTTCTGTGGCCCCAAATATGCTCTATCTTGTAAATGTTCTATATTTACTTGAAGAATGTACATTCTGCTGTCTTATTTATAGTTACAGTGAATCTAGCTAGATATTATGGAATAGAAGGAAAAAGTCACTTGGATGACTTTTTTATAGGCGGTGGCTCACGCCTATAATCCCAGCACTTTGGGAGGCTGAGGTGGGAAGATTGCTTGGGCCCAGGAGTTCGAGACCAGCCCAAGCAACATGGCAAAACCTCATCTCTACAAAAAAATACAAAAATTAGCCAGGTGTGGTGGTGCATGCCTGCAGTCCCAGCTACTCAAGAGGCAAGAGTTATTTCTGACATAAGACAAGTTATTTCAGGCCATTCCCCTAGACCTCAGGGAGTGTCCATTCACTCTTGGACTGTTAAATGAAAAGTTTGCAAGTACTTTTAGGCCTTAAGGAAGCATGGTTCTCAGTTGTCACGTGCATCAGAATCATGGCAGAGACAGTTAATGAGATTCCTGTGTTCCATACTCTGGAAAGAGCAGTTAGTGTTTATTTTAGATATTTTTCATAGTTAAATCATCTCATTTACACTTTCCAAACATAACTCTGAGAGAGGCACCATTTTACAGATGAGGAACTTGTATGAGATTAGGTGTGTAATAAATGAAAGGGCCAGTAAGTCTGGCTTGTCTTACTCAGGATCCCAAACTCTAAACCACAGCACTATACTAGTCCTGATTACCTGAAGTATGCTGATTCCTGAGGTCCACAGTGAAACCAAGGAAGATACATGTTAAATTCTCCTTCGTATGTTGATTTGTCTTGTCAACAACTGTGAAATATATAGTTATAGTCCTGTCGACTACATCTTGGAGGCTGTCCTAAAAATGATTTATATAATTTTATTTTCTCCTTTGTCTTCTAAAAAGAAGAGAAATTTGCTTATAAGTGGTAATTTACTTATTAGTGGTGACTTTCATAATGAAAATACAATTTACCACAAAGGGAGACCTGTGGGCCATTGCATCTTCCATATCTAGTAAATTATCTTTTCTTTACTAAAAAGAGTGAGCTTGGAGTCAAACAGCAAGTTTTATATCATGATTTCTTCTTCTTTAGCTTTGTATTATGGAAAACTTTAAATATCTATACAATTGAAATTTTTTTTTCTTTTCTTTTTTTTTTTTTTGAGACGGAGTCTTGCTCTGTCGCCCAGGCTAGAGTGCAATGGCGTGATCTCAGCTCACTGCAACCTCTCCCTCCCAGGTTTAGCAATTCTCCTGCCTCAGCCTCCTGAGTAGCTGGGACTACAGGCGCACGCCACCACACCTGGCTAATTTTTGTACTTTTAGTAGAGATGGGGTTTCACCACGTTGGTCAGGTTGGTCTCGAACTCCTGACCTCAGGTGATCTGCCCATCTCGGCCTTCCAAAGTGCTGGGATTACAGGCGTGAGCCACTGTGCCCAGACTGAAAGATATTTAATAGAATAATGAACCTCCATGTATCCATTACCCAGCTTTGATTATCACTCATGCCATTTTTGTTAGATCCATCTCTCCACTTCTTTGCTGCCTGTTTATTCATATCATTTCGTCTAAAAATTGCAGAGTATATCTATAGAAATAAGCGCTTTTAAAGCAAAGGGTTTTTGAGCAGTTCAGTACATGGGTTTTCCTTTAAATGCTTTGTAAATGTCGTTACTTGCACAGAGCCTTCATGTGTTCTTGCACTCTAATTAATTTTCTAGTGCTTCACAACTTTTCCAGCAGGGGTCACTTGTAGGCTGGAGGGATTTAGGTATTCAAAGGAGAGCCCTTGAGCTTTTATCATAACCCAGAGTAATCCATCTCTCCCCATGCCTTTTGAAAAATCTCTTTGGTGAATCTAGATGCAAAGCAAAAGATGCGACAGGCCTGGAAGTCCTGGTTGATCTACGTGGTTGTTCGTAGGACCAAACTTCAGATGCAGACTACAGCTCTGGAGTTTAGGCAACGGATTATCTTACGGTGAGTCTGCTCAACTGCCCTACAAAGTACCAGCCATCATTTTACCTCATCAGCTTTATGGTGCTGGAAAACAGCATAAAACCTCACCTTAAAACAATGGTTTGTATTTGGTTTTATTTTTGTGTTTTGTTTTTTTCGAGATAGGGTCTTACTCTGTCACCCAGGTTGGAGTGTAGTGGCCCAATCTCAGCTTACTGCAACTTCCACCTCCCAGGTTCAAGCAGTCCTTCCACCTCAGCCTCCCAAGTAGCTAGGACTACAGGCATGCGCCACTATGCCCAGCTAATGTTTTTTTTTTTTTCATTTTTTTGTAGAGGCGAGGTTTTATCATGTTTCCCAGGCTGGTCTTGAGTTCGTGGGCTCAAGCGATCTGCCCACCTCAGCCTCCCAAAGTGCTGGGATTATAGGCATGAGCCACCATGCCCCCTTCCCACCTTGAAACAATATTTTGAACATAGTTGATGCCTAATAAAGATTTACTGATAACTTGTTTATAAGATCGATTTTCACATAATCATAATTAACATGAATTGAGTGCTTACTGTGTTCTAAACCCTGTGTTAAGTTTGTGTGTGCATGTGTTAATTTTGTAATGTAAAGTATCTTATTTAACCCTTACCGTAAACTGTAAGTACCATTATTGTACAGATTAAGATGTACAATAAGGCTCAGAGAGGTTGAGTAACTTGCCTAGCACATACAGGTTGTAATTGGCAAAACTAGGGCTCACCCACCCATGCTCTTAACTGGTCTTCTGCATTGCAGCCCATCAGCATTGTAGACATACTGGAAGAACATGAATTAGTCCACTTTTATAGCCAGATATGTAACAATGAGCTGCATTATCATGGGACAGATTTCACTCTATGTTGTCTGTAGTTGTCCACTGGTGTCCTGAATGGTAATATATTAATAATTCACTTCCTGCCTGAAAGTTGGGTATTGAACAAAGTATGGATAATAGGAGAGGCTTTGCAGCTGCACTTACTTGGGTTTGAATCCCTCTTCCAACCTGTATTATTGGGTCATTTCATCTCTTCAGCTCTTATTTTCCTCATCTGTGAAATAGTTACACCATACTTAAAGGTTTGTCATCAGGAATAAATAAAGTAATATCTGTAAAGTATTTAACAGTGTCCAGAAAATCAGTGGACATAAAGAAGTTATTTAAGTAGAAATAAAATAGGCAGAGTGCAGTAGTTCAAACCTGTAATCCCAACACTTTGGGAGGCTAAGATGGGAGGCTTGCTTGAGGCCGGGAGTTTGAGACCAGCCTGGGCAACAAAGCCAAGACCCTATCTCTACACACAAAAAATTTTTTTAAATAATTAAAATCATTACTTAAAATGTATTTAGCAAGTATTTCAAAATGCCTAATTAGTATGCAGTTTTACTTGAGTCTGAGTGAATTTTTTTTTTTTTTTTATGAGATGGAGTCTCACACTGTTCCCCAGGCTGGAGTGCAGTGGTGTGATCTTGGCTCACTGCAACCTTCTGGGTTCAAGCCTTCCAGGTTCAAGCGATTCTTCTGCCTTGGCCTCTCGAGTAGCTGGGATTACAGGCGCCTGCCACCATGCCCAGCTAATTTTTTGTATTTTTACTAGAGGCAGGGTTTCACCATGTTGGCCAGCCTTGTCTCGAACTCCTGACCTCATGATTCACCGGCCTCAGCCTCTCCAAGTGCTGGGATTCCAGGCATGAGCCACCGCGCCTGGCCTGAGTGATATTTTTATATAATTAATTCATTTACTCAACGTACATTTATTTATTTATTTGAGACAGAGTCTCACTGTTTCGTCCAGGCTGGAGTGCCATGGCACAATCTTGGCTGACTGCAAGCTCTGCTTCCTGGGTTCAAGTGATTCTCCTGCCTCAGCCTCCCAAGTAACTGGGATTACACCATACCTAGCTAATTTTTTGTATTTTTAGTAGAGATGGGGTTTCACCACATTGGCCAGGCTGGTCTTGAACTCCTGACCTCAGATGATCCACCCGCCTCGGCTTCCCAAAGTGCTGAGATTATAGGCATGAGCCACCGGGCCCAGCCTATTTATTGAGGGTTTAAAATGTTCTTGGTACTGGGCCAGGCACAGGGACTCATGCCTGTAATCCCAGCACTTTGGGAGGCTGAGGCTGGTGAATTACCTGAGGCCAGGAGTTTAAGACCAGCCTGGCCAACATAGTGAAACTGTCTCTACTAAAAAAATACAAAAGTTAGCCTGGTTTGATGGTGCACGCCTATAATCCCAGCTACTCGGGAGGCTGAGGCATGAGAACCGCTTGAACAAACAAGGCAGACGTTGCAGTGAGTCGAGATTGTGCCACTCCACTGCACCCTGGGCAACAGAGTGAGACTCTGTCTCGAAAAAATAAAAAAAATGGCTTCCGCGGGAGGCCTACACACCGCCAGTTGTGTTCCTGCTATGTCTCTAGTGATCCCTGAAAAGTTCCAGCGTATTTTGCGAATACTCAACAGCAACATCAACGGGCAGCAGAAAATAGGCTTTGCCATCACTGCCATTAAGGATGTGGGTTGACAGTACACTCATAGTGTTGAGGAAAGCTGACGTTGACCTCACCAAGTGGGCAGGAGAACTCACTGAGGATGAGATGGAACGTGTGATGACCATTATGCAGAATCCATGCCAGTACAAGATCCCAGACTGGTTCTTGAACAGACGGAAGGATGTAAAGGATGGAAAATATAGCCAGGTCCTAGCCAGTGGTCTGGACAAGAAGCTCCGTGCAGATGTGGAGCGACTGAAGAAGATTCAGGCCCATAGAGGACCGCACCACTTCTGGGGCCTTCGTGTCCGAGGCCAGCACACCAAGACCACTGGCCACCATGGCTGTACCATGGGCGGGTCCAAGAAGAAATAAGTCTGCAGGCCTTGTCTGTTAATAAGTAGTTTATATACCTAAAAAATATAAATAAAGTAATAAATAAGTAAAATGTTATTGGTACTGTATTGATGCTGGGGCTGTATTCAGGGAATTTGTGATTCCCTGGATGCATAAGAAGATAAGTGATAATGTGAGATAGCTTGAGGTTTTGCAGTGAGTGCTGCAAGTGAGCCTGGTCTAAGAGAAATCTTTGTAGGTTAGAGTGACCAGGAAAAGTGAGTGTTTCTGTAAAGCACAGGTTGTAAACTCTTATTTCCCCATGACTCTTTTCCTAGAGCAAATTCGAAAATTAGTAGGAAAAAAAAAACAAGACTGAAACAAAAGTCTGACCAGGATTCTAGGAAAGAAAAGGATACATACAAGACTAGAAATCTAAAAGCCACTTGATTGCAGATTATTTTGTGAAATCTCCTGATTTTCAAATGTTGGTAATACTCTTTTTTTTTTTTTTTTTTTGAGGTGGAGTCTCACTCTGTCACCCAGGCTGGAGTATAGTGGCACGATCTTGGCTCACAGCCACCTCTGCCTCCTGGGTTCAAGAGATTCTCCTGCCTCAGCCTCCCAAGTAGCAGGGATTACAGGCACACACCACCATGTCCAGCTAATTTTTTGTATTTTTAGTAGAGACGGGGTTTCACCATGATGGCCAAGCTGGTTTTGAACTCCTGACCTCAAGTAATCCACCTGCCTCAGCCTCCCAAAGTGCTAGGATTACAGGCGTGAGCCACCACGCCTGGCCTTTTTTTTTTTTTTCCCGAGATGGAGTCTCACTCTGTCACCCAGGCTAGAGTGCAGTGGCGTGATCTCAGCTCACTGCAACCTCTGCTTCCTGGGTTCAAGCTATTCTCCTGCCTCAGCCTCCCGAGTAGCTGGGATTACAGGAGCATGCCACTACCACCTGGCTATTTTTGTATTTTTAATAGAGACAGGGTTTCACTGTGTTGGCCAGGCTAGTCTTTTAACTCCTGACCTCAGGTAATCCACTCTCCTCGGCCTCCCAAAGTGCTGTGATTACAGGTGTAAGCCACCGTACCAGGCCATAACATATCTTTTAACAAATCAAACTGTGTAGGTCAAACAGAGCATGTCTGTGGTGTCTAAAGCAGGATCTGACCGTAGGAACCATAAGTTTCCAACCATTAATGGGCAGATCTGGGACTTTTTCTCAATTGTTTTGTTTTATTTTTTTCCCCAGCAGTGAATCTAGAGATGGTACTATGAAGGAGAGGACTAGAGCTGAGGGTCTGAGGCCCCACACTAACTGCTCCTCTCTTTCCTGAGTGGCTTTTTACTGATGGATTCCATCTTTGATTTGCTGTTTCACAGGGTGTGGTGGAGCACGTGGAGGCAGCGACTAGGACAGGTCCGTGTGAGCCGTGCCCTCCATGCCTCTGCTTTGAAGCACAGGGCCCTGAGCCTCCAGGTGCAGGTGAGTCCAGCAGACGTGGGATTTGGCATCCTCTGTCAGTGTTGTCAAGCCTCTCACCCACAGAGGGCAGTGCTGGGCCTTCCCTGCAGCTCAGGGCCTGAGAGGGGGTGGGGACAGAGGTAATCTGGAAGGCTGGGCTCTTCCAGAGGGAGGCTGCTGTTAGGAATAAAGTAGAGGCTTGTCCTAGATGAGCCTAGATCAGTGGCTTCCAGAGTGCTTCTGGTAATTGTGGAGCTGGAGAGGGATTTATGAATTAGTTATAAACATGTTTAGAGAAACAGCAGTATACTCTGATTTCCTCGTTGCTGTTTTCCTACAGCAAATCAGAAAATAATTGGGGCAGAAAAGAAACTTAAGACTGAAAAGAAAACCTGTCTTCCTTTTCTTTATAGTTTTGATTGTCTTAGAGTGTTCTTTTAGGCAAGCCACTAGCTTTTTTTGTCAATCATAAATGGCTAAGGCCTGTACTAAAACTTTCTTATCCTTTGACATATTCTCTGAATTCTTGTCATGTTTTTGTGTCTGCTGGGTACTTACAGAGCTGCCAAATAAGTTATAGGAAATAGAACAGAGAAGAGGAAAAAAAAAATTAGTGCCTGTTTCCAAATGTAGGAATAGTATCTTCTTATTCTAACAACAAATTGCATAGTCCATGTGAATACGTGCAGATCACATGCAAATAGCATATATAGTCATCTAGATCAGTGATCAGCAAACTGGCTCACAGGCCAAATTTGGCCTGCTTTCTGTTTTTGTAAATAAAGTTTTATTGGGATGCTGCTACACTCATTCATTTATATATCATCTGAGGCTGCTTTCAGATTACAAGAGCAGTGTAGGGTAGTTGTAACAGAGACCTTATGGTCTACAAAGACTAAACTATTTGTTTTCTGACCCTTTAAGAAAAAGTTTGCTGACCTCTGAACTTGTAAGGTCTTCTGAGGCAATAGCAAGGAAATAAGAGACACAGTTCTCGCCAATAATAATAACAGTACCAATAGCAGTAGCAACTGCAGCCTGAGTGACTGAGTTGGGGCCCTGTCTCAAAAAAAAAAAAAAAAAAGAAGTAGATTTTATTGTGGTCTTACTTGTGTTAGGTGCTAGACTAAGTGCTTTACGTGCATTATCTAATTTTCATAAACCTTTTTTAAAAGTCCCATATTATTGTTAAGGGAACCAGGAAGGTTAAATAACTTGAACTAGGGTCACATGTATAGTGAAGCTTAGAGCCAGGTTTTTTTATTTTTTTTTGATTTTTTGAGACAGAGTCTCGCTCTGTCACCCAGGCTGGAGTGGAGTGGCACAGTCTTGGCTCACTGCAAGCTCTGCCTCCTGGGTTCACGCCATCATCCTGCCTCAGCCTCCTGAGTAGCTGGGACTGCAGGTGCCCGCCACCACGCCCGGCTAATTTTTTGTATCTTTAGTAGAGACGGGGTTTCACCATGTTAGCCAGGATGGTCTTGATCTCCTGACCTTGTGATGGCCTGCATCGGCCTCCCAAAGTACTGGTATTACAGGCGTGAGCCACCACATCCGGCCGCTTGGAGCCAGGTTTTAACCTAAGCAGCCAGAAAGCTGCATCATCATCTTTTATATATATATATATATATGTTTTGAGACAGAGTATTGCTCGCTCTGTCACCCAGACTGGAGTGCAGTGGCGCGATCTTGCCTCACTGCAACCTCTGCCTCCCAGGTTCAAGCAATTCTCCTGCCTCAGCCTCCCAAGTAGCTGGGACTCAGACGCATGCCGCCACGCCTGGCTAATTTTTTGTATTTTAGTAGTGATGGGGTTTCACCGTGTTGCCCAGGGTGGTTGCTAACTCCTGAGCTCAGGCAATCTGCCTGCCTCAGCCTCCCAAAGTGCTGGGATTACAGGCGTGAACCACCGCGCCTGGCCTGCATCATTATCATAATCACCATGCAGTATTGTGCTGAATAGACTTGTAACCTCAGGAGGGAGATGGAACTGATAAATGGGAAAATGCTATAAATGCAGGGATACTGACTAAACTTATAGACTGACTGTGAATATAGGGAAACTAAACATAATGAGACTGATTTTCTGTCATCGGTGGACAACTGTGCTAGTTTTCTTCCCTTTCTAAGAGCCACTTTGAGAGGCCATAAACTCATTCTACTGATGCTACTGTTGCTCAGAACATGTTTAGAATTCCCCTTTTCTTGTTTGTTGTTGTTTGTTTTTTTGTTTTGAGACAGTCTCACTCTTTTGCCCAGGCTGGAGTGCAGTGGCACGATCTTGGCTCACTGCAACCCCTGCCTCCCGGGTTCAAGCGATTCTCCTGCCTCAGCCTCCCAAGTAGCTGGGATTACAGGCACGCGCCACCATGCCTGTCTAATTTTGTATTTTTGATAGAGACGGGGTTTTGCCATGTTGGCCAGGCTGGTCTCGAACTCCTGACCGCAAGTGATCCACCTGCCCCTCGGCCTCCCAAAGTGCTGGGATTACAGGGGTGAGCCACCACACCCAGCCTACACGTCTTAATCTACACAGCATCTCTATGCACTAGGCAGGTAAGACATCATGAAATATGTAAAATTTTAATTTTAATTTAAAATTTAAAATTAAATTTGGTATTTCAAACATAGAAACACATAAAATATAAAACACTTAGAAAAATATTAGCAGATAGGCCAGGCGCGGTGGCTCACACCTGTAATCCCAGCACTTTGGGAGGCTGAGGTGGGCGGATCATGAGGTCAGGAGATGGAGACCATCCTGGCTAACACGGTGAAACCCCGTCTCTACTAAAAATACAAAAAATTAGCCGGGCGTGGTGGTGGGTGCCTGTAGTCCCAGCTACTCAGGAGGCTGAGGCAGGAGAATGACATGAACCTGGGAGGCAGAGCTTGCAGTGAGCTGAGATCACGCCACTGCACTCCAGCCTGGGCGACAGAGCAAGACTCCATCTCAAAAAAAAAAAAAAAAAATTAGCAGCTAGCCAAGTACTCACCAGCCTCACCCAGATTTAAAAGGTGTTAGCATTTTCTATACTTGCAAAAAAAAAAAAATTAGCAGATAGCCAAGTACTCAACACCCTCACCCAGATTTAAAAGGTGTTAGCATTTTCTATACTTGCTCCAGAATTTTTTTTAAGTTATTTTTTGGGGGACAGGATCTTACTCTGCTGCCCAGTCTGGAGTGCAGTGGTACCATCATGGCTCACTGTAGTCTTGACCTCCCAGGCTTAAGTGATCCTCCCACCTCAGCCTCCCAAGTAGCTGAGAACACAGGCATGTGCTACCATGCCTGGCTAATATTTTTTTTTTTTCCCTTGTGGAGTCGAGGTCTCACCATGTTGCCCAGGCTGGTCTGAAACTCCTGAGCTCAAGTGATCCACCCGCCTCGGCCTCCCAAAGTGCTGGGATTACAGGCATGAGCCACCATGCCTGGCCCAGAATTTTTTTTTTTTTTTTTGAGACGGAGTCTTGCTCTGTCGCCCAGGCTGGAGTGCAGTATCGCGATGTTGGCTCACTGCAAGCTCCGCCTCCCGGGTTCACGTCATTCTCCTGCCTCAGCCTCCCAAGTAGCTGGGACTACAGGCGCCCGCCACAACGCCTGGCTAATTTTTTTTTTTTTTTGTATTTTTTAGTGGAGATGGGGTTTCACCATGTTAGCCAGGATGGTCTCGATCTCCTGACCTCGTGATCCGCCTGCCTTGGCTTCCCAAAGTGCTGGGATTACAGGCGTGAGCCACCGTGCCCGGCCCAGAATTTTTTAAAGTAACAAAATTTAATGGACACTGCCAAAGCTTTACCCTCCCTCCGTCCCTTCTACTGCCTCTCCTCCTTAGAGATAGCCACTCTTTTGATTCTGGTATGATTGTTCTCCTATATTCTTTTTTCTTATAAAAATATGTGCACATATCTGTAAAGAATAAACATGTGGTACACTCCTGTAGTCCCATCTACTCGGGAGGCTGTGGCAGGATGATCACTTGAGGTCAAGTGTTTGAGGCTAGCCTGGGCAATATAATGAGACCCCATCACTTAAAAAGGCGGGAGGGGTCACGGTGGCCTACACCTGAATACTAGGACTTTGGGAGGCCAAAATAAGAGGATCACTTGAGTTTAGGAGTTCAAGACCAGACTAGGCAACATAGTGAGACCCCATCTCTACAAAAAAAAAAAAAAAATTAGCTAGACGTGGTGGCGCATGCCTGTTGTCCCAGCTACTTGGGAGGCTTAGGTTGGAGGATCACTTGAACCTGGGAGGTCAAGGCTGCAGTGAGCCATTGATCATGCCACTGCACTCCAGCTTGGGCAACAGAGCAAGACCCTGTCTCAAAAATAAATAAATAAATAAGTAAATGGTATGGCTTTGTGTAGTTAGGACATTTATGAATGTTGTCATACTGTGCTTTGCAACTTGTTTTTTTAGTGCAACGGTATATTTTTGAGGTTTAGCCATGTGATTTCTTTCTTCCTTTTTTAAAATAGAGACAGGGTCTTTCTCTGTTGCCCAGGCTGTTCTTGAACTCACGGCCTCAAGCAGTTCTTACACCTTGGCTTCTTAAAGTGCTGGGATTACAGGCCTGAGCCACCATGCCTGGCCCTATCTATGTGGATAGACAGAGATCTATTAACTGTGTATATTATGCCATTGTATAAACAAGGCACCATTTATCTGCTTACTTACTGATGGACTGTTGACTTCCTCTGCTTTTTAGAATTACGAACAGTACTACCAAGAGCATTCTTTTTCTATTTTTTTTTTTTTTTTGAGACTCCGTGCAGTGGCACAATCTCAGCTCACTGCAATCTCCGCCTCCCAGGTTCAAGCAATTCTTCTGCCTCAGCTTCCCATGTAGCTGGGACTACAGGTGTGCTCCACCACATCCAGCTAATTATTGTATTTTTAGTAGAGATGGGGTTTCACCATGTTGGCCAGGCTGTCTTGAACTCCTTACCTCAAGTGATCCGCCTGCCTCTGCCTCCCAAAGTGTTGGGATTACAGGCGTGAGCCACCATGCCCGGCCCCCAGTTTCTTTTAATTATTCACGGATCTGTTTCTCGGCTCTGTCTTCCATTCATGTATTTGTCTATCCAGACCATACCAATGCCATACTGGTTTAGTTACGATTTGATGAAGCAGTAAGCAACAGTGTAGGTTCTTGAGTCAGACTGTCCAAGTGGAATTCTGCCTCTATCACCTATTAGCTTTGTGCCTTTGAATGAGTTATTTCATCTGTTTGTACCTCAGAATTCTTATCTGTAAGTAGATTGTAATAGTACCTACCTCATGAGATTATTGAGGCTTCAGGAGGATGATCCAGTTATTAATATACTCAGAGCAATGCCTGGAATGTGGAAATGCTCAGTAAATGCTAGCTGTTTATATTCCTACTTGACATATAGTTCTCAAGGCTCTATATTTGACAGAGAATCTCCTTTATTCTTGTTTTGTTTTTAAACTTGTCTTAATTGTTCTTCTGTACTCTTTCTTATTAATTTTAGGAGCAACTTGTCAAGTTCTATAACAAAGCCTATTAGGAATTTTTTTTTTCTTTTGAGACATGTCTCACTCTGTCACCCAGGCTGGAGTGCAGTGGTGCGATCTCGGCTCACTGCAAGCTCCACCTCCTGGGTTCACGCCATTCTTCTGCCTCAGCCTCCCGAGTAGCTGGGACTATAGGCACCTGCCACCACGCCTGGCTAATTTTTTGTATTTTTAGTAGAGACGGGGTTTCACCGTGTTAGCCAGGATGGTCTCGATCTCCTGACCTCATGATCCGCCCACCTCGGCCTCCCAAAGTGTTGGGATTACAGGCGTGAGCCACCGCACCTGGCCAAGCCTATTAGGATTTTTATTACAATGTACTGACTGACAGCTTATTAGGTTAGAAAAATTGTCATATTGAGTCATTTCATCTTTGAATTTGATATATCTCATAATATATTGCTGAGCTTGAGAAGGAGAGTAGGAAGGATGAGGTTATGAGGTAACAGGGAGCCAGAACGCAGGGCCTGGCAGGCTGTGCCTGATAAAAAAGGCTTTGACTTTTATTCCTGGGAAGGTGAAGAGCTGCTGGCTCTGAGCAGAGGAGTGACATGATTATACCTACCTCTTAACAGGATTCTTTGATTCATAGTGTGCTGCTTTTGGGGTAAGAAAGGGAAGGATATATATGAATGTGTGTCTGTGTGTTTGTGGAGGGGGGGGGTGTGTGTGTCTGTTTGCTTATATTTTCAAGAAGGAATAATGGAAAAATAAATGAAAAACTTACCAAAAAATGGTTACCTATAGGAGGAGGGAGAGAAGGGTATAGGAATAAAGTACTTCTGTGAATTTACTTTGTTACATAGTTTTAACTTTGGAACTATGCATATATTTTATATAATTACAAAGCAAGAGTAAATAAAAAAACAATTGCCAGATTTTCAAAACAAACTGAAACGAACATATCAAGTTTGTGGCAATGACTACACAGAGAATAATTACTTCAAGTAACTTTAAAATACAATATTTTGACTGTTCACCCTGGTGGAATGTGTTAAAAGGACGTAATGAACTGCTAAGAAATCTAAAACCACATTCTTAGTAAAACAAGTGTTATTGTTGCTAGGAGGTTTGAAATTGTTACATTGAAAGTATTATAGTTACATTGTAAGATAAAGCAAATAATTATGGCAGTGTTGTTAGGAATAAAGATCTTCAATAGAAAAGAAAAGATTACAAGTATAAAAAGCAAAGAAATCTGCAATTGGAACTGTAAATATCAATATGGACTCTCTCTCTCTCTATATATATATGTGTGTGTGTGTGTGTGTGTGTGTGTGTTGTGTGTGTGTGTGTGTATATATATATATATATTTTTTTTTTTTTACCATAAATGCATTTCTGGTCTGGCGCGATGGCTCCCAGCACTTTGGGAGGCAGAGGCAGGTGGATCACCCGAGGTCAGGAGTTCGAGACTAGCCTGGCCAACATGGTGAAATCCCGTCTCTACTAAACATACAAAAAAATTAGCCGGGCATGGTGGTGGTGGGCACCTGTAATCCCAGCTACCTGGGAGGCTGAGCACGAGAATCACTTGAATCCAGGAAGCAGAGGTTGCAGTGAGCTGAGATTGTGCCAACTGCACTTCAGCCTGGGCGACAGGGTGAGACCCTGTCTCAAAAAAAAAAAAAAAAAAAAAAAAAGCATTAGAAGCAGTGACAGTAATATAGCATTTAGTATCCCCAGTGCCCAAGTTGTGGTCTTAACTATTTCCCACTAATAGGAACCAGGGCTTTTTAGAGAAATGGCTGATTATAGGTCCGGGGCAGGAAATAGACAAGATACACCTAGGACTAAGGAACTTAACAAAAGCTAATGGAATTGTGTCAGAAGGACTCAGGAACCAATTTGGAAGGGTTCCCAGGGCTTAAGATAGAAAAGTTTGAGCATCAAAAAACAATAAGCTAGGCATAGTGGTGCCTGTAGTCCCAGCTACTCAGGAAGCTGAGGCAGGAGGATCACTTGAGCCCAGTAGATTGAAAACATCAAATACATAAAAATTCATGCATTTGAAATAATTTTCAAAGAAAGTGGAACTCATCGGTCATGATTTTGGGTTGTTAGGGGAGTTAACTAAATTCTTTAAAAATTAAAGCATTTTAATTCTTTAAAAATTAAAGGCAAAAAATTAAGCATTTATCCCACCTTTCCTATATAAACTGTTAACTCCAAGAAACCAGAGGGTTAATGAGAGAGAAGCCTTCTTTATAGAAGAATTCCAGTTAATAAATGCTGAAGGAATACTAGAACTAGAAAATTGCTGTTTTGCCACCCCTAATGAGGACATAGATCTAGGAAGCCATCACTAGGTGAGAGGATGGTGGGAAAATATAGGAGAAATCTGGCTACCTGCCATCTGAATCCACCAAACAATCTTGGCATTGCTACAACTGTGGCAGCCAGACATGATGTGCCTCATGATACTATGTAAGGGGAAGTACCCAGCCACATTCATGAACTGTTCTTGCCTAAAAAATTGAACATGACTCCAAGCCTAATGCAAATCTCTCAGTTTATAGGAAATACAGGGGTCAGAGGAACAAGTTAAAGACACCTCGAGGTTACAGTCAGCCAAATCCAAAATGTAGGACATTTTATAGGATAGATGACTTGATTTCTCTAGTAGATTGATGGCATGAAAGAGAAAAAAAGCAGGAAGGGAAGTTGTCATATAAAACAGAACTTTAAGTGACCTAACAATTAAAGCGAACCAAAATGGACCACTCTGGCTGTTGTGTTAGGAGTACATCAGAGCCAGGCGTGGTGGCAGATGTCTGTAATCCCAGCACTTTGGGAAGCCAAGGCGGGGGGACAGCTTGAGCCCTAGCATCTGAGACCAGCCTGAGCAACATGGTGAAACCCTGTCTCTACAAAAAATACAAAAAATTATCCTGTTATGGTGGCATGTGTCTGTAGTCCCAGCTACTCAGGAGGCTAAGTGGGAGGATCACCTGAGTCCGGGAAATTGAGGCTGTAGTGAGCTATGATTGTACCACTGCCCTCTAGCCTGGGCAATGGAGCAAGAACCTATCTCAAAAAAAAAAAAAAAAAAAATTAGCTGGGCATGGTGGTGCATGCCTGTGGTCCCAGCTGCTCAGGAGGCTGAGGCAGGAAGATTGCTTAAGCCCAGGAGGTTGAGGCTGCAGTGAGCCGTATTCTTGCCATTGCACTTCAGTCTGGCAGTCTGAGTAACAGAATGAGACTCTGTCAATAAATAAATAAATAAATAAATAAATAAATCAGAGATGATCAAGGATATAAACAGGGAGGACAGGTAAGAAGCTATTACAAAATTCCAGGTGAGATTTTCCACAAAGATGATAAGAAGACGGTGGTTGGATTCTCAATGTCTTTAAAAGATGTAACTGACATCTTTAAAAGATGTATGGATGAGATACGAAGTTTTAGCGTCCAAGATGACTTCCAAGTTTTGGCCTAAGCAGTTGGAACAATGGAGTGCCATTTACTGAAATAGGAAAGACTGCAGGAGAAGCAGGTTTGTGGGAAGAGATTAGGAGGAGCCCAATTCTGGACTCTATCTTCAGCCTGATAGGCCTTTTGAATAGCCACAAGAAGCTATGTTAAGGAGGCAGTGGGATATTGGGATATATGTGTGGAATACTGAGGATGGGGCCAGGATGGGAGGTACATTTGGGAAATTCAGGAGTTCTTAGTAGGCAGATGGTATGTAAAGTTACTAGAGTGAGCGGGGTGCGGTGGCTCATGCCTGTAAATCCCAACACTTTGGGACGCTGAGGCGGGAGGATTGCTTGAGCCCAAGAGTTCAAGACCAGCCTGGGCAACATAGAGAGACCCCATCTGTTTTTTTAAAAAAAGCTACTAGGGTGGGTGAAAAAATAAAAGGAGTGAGTGTAGCTAGATGAGAGGTTCCAGGGCTGAGCCTGCGAGGTGCACAGAGGTGGGAGTCAGCAACAGGAACAAAGCAGGGACACATCCCGAAAGCCAGGTGAAGGAAGGAGGAAGGCTTTGTCAGACACTTCTGGCAGGTCAAGGGAGGTGAGGACCAAAATCTGACCTTTGGATTGAGCGATGTGGAGATTGCCGATGCACTTGATAAGAGTAGTTTCATTCAGTAAGCCTGTGGGAGCGGGCTCAAGAAAGCCTGCCTGGGAGACAGAAAGATTAGAAAATAGCTCTTTTGAGGAGCTTGAAACAGAAAGAACCAAAGTGTTAGCTGGATGGCACAATGCGGTCTAGAGTCTAGAGAGGGGTGTTGCTTTGTTTGTTTAAGAATCACTGGTTTATTCCTTTCAGAAAGTATTTTTGTGATGGCAGTCTTTCCCCAACAACTTTTTATTACTGACAAACACCAAATCATAGAAAAGGTGGATACTGTCTGTGTTTCACCTAGTTTAACCGATTGTGGTTTTTTGGTTTGGTTTGGTTTGGTTTTTTTGAGACAGGGTCTCACTCTGTTGCCCAGACTAGAGTGCAGTGGTATGATCACTGCTCACTGCAGCCTCAACCTACCAGGCTCAAGCGATCCTCCCACCTCAGCCTCCCAAGTAGCTGGGACTACAGGTACACACCACCATGCCTGGCTAATTTTTTTTTTTTTTTGGTAGAGACAGAGTTTCGCCATGTTTCCCAGGCTGGGCTCAAACTCCTGAGGTCAAGCAATCCTCCTGCCTTGGGCTCCCAAAGTGCTGAGATTACAGGTGTGAGCCACCCCGCCCCACCAACCCATTGTTAACATCTTGCCACATTTGCTTTCTTTAAGTATATAAATACATTTATTTTGTCTGAGCTGCTCTAAAATTGTAGACACAAAGTTTATCTTAAAGTGTATATCTCCTAAAAAGGATGGTCTCCCACATAACCATAATATCATTATTATATTCCAAGAAATTTAATATTGATATAATATATAACATGCAGTTCATATTAAAACTGTATATTGTTGCTATTTTCATTTCCATAGTCTAATTAAAGGTCACCCATTGCTTTTAGTTGTTACATCTTGAAGATTTTTTTTTTTAGGATAGGAAAAATAATAGCACATTGATATGCTGATTTCAAAAATCTATAGAGAGTGAAAACTGATGATTCGTAAGAGGGGAACTGCCAAGGCAGTAAACTCGGGAAGGTGAGAGATAGCCAGAGCTGGACAGGGTTGGGAGGGGACTGACGTTGGTGGGAGCATGGGCGGTTCATCCAGAGTAGCAGGAAAGAGAGAAGACAGAGCCCGTGGGCAGGTGGGTAGTTAAACATGGTGGACCTTAAGGAAATTTCCTTTTGATTGCTTTTATTTTCTTAGTGAAATGGGAACGATGGTATTCAGTTGAGAGGAGGGAAAGGAGAGGTGCGACAGGCTGAAGAAAAGATATGAAGTCTTTGTCTAAGTCGTCTTCAGATTAGGACATGCATTATCACTGATCTAAGGGTGTGCATTTATAGACCCTTGTAGACCCTTAGCTTCTATATATAGGCATCCCTGGAACTAATCTGCCTGAAAAAGGACTACTTTACAGTAGGCTTCCTCTGACTTTGGAAGAAAAGGCAGACCCTCACTTATCCCAAATCTGAATTAATTATATCACCCCTCGGATTGTTTCTGCTCCTTGTCTGCTTGTTTTTGTTTTTGTTTTGAGTTGGTCGCTCTTGTCGCCCAGGCTGGAGTGCAGTGGTGTGATCTCAGCTCACTGCAACCTCCACGTCCTGGGTTCAAGTGATTCTCCTGCCTCAGCCTCCTGAGTAGCTGGGATTATAGGCACCCACCATCACGCCCAGCTAATTTTTTGTATTTTTAGTAGAGACGGGGTTTTGCCATGTTGGGCAGGCTGGTCTCAAACTCCTAACCTCAGGTGATCTGCCCTCCTCGGCCTCCCAAAGTGCTGGGATTACAGGCGAGAGCCACTGCACCAGCCATCTGCTTTCTGCTTGTTGATTTTATTCTTCTTTTTTTTAATCCAGGAAAAAATTACTTTTGAAAGCAGAATGTCCCTCTTAAAGACCCTTTTACCCCACGGTCCCATAGCTTATCATCCTGCTAGGGGATTGCCACTTCCTTGTTTCTAATTTCAGCCTTTCCAGCGTGTGTGCCTTTCTCTTTTCCCTCTCCACCTGTACTTCACCCTGTTTTCCTGCCTCTCCTTTGACTGTTGCCTCTTCTCTGGTTTTCAGGCTTGGTCACAGTGGCGGGAACAGCTCCTGTATGTCCAGAAGGAGAAACAAAAGGTTGTCTCTGCAGTGAAACATCATCAGCACTGGCAAAAACGGAGATTTCTAAAGGCCTGGCTTGAATACCTGCAAGTCCGCAGAGTGAAGAGACAGCAGAATGGTGAGTAGGAAGCTCCAGGCTCTCGAGATAGAGGATCTGGTCACAGTTTCACTCTCCTGCTGCCAGTGGTACTGTACTAAGAAGTAATATAATGGTGCTACTCCAGAAATTTTGGTAAAAGGAGATTAAGGAGGAAAATACATCATCCTTGAGTCACATTTATTTCTCTTTGGGCTTTTATTTATATATCTGTATCTATATCTATCTAGCTATCTGTAGATAGATTTTTTTTTTTTTTTTGAGATGGAGTTTCGCTCTTGTCACCCAGGCTGGAGTGCAGTGGCGCAATCTCGGCTCACTGCAACCTCCGTCTCCTGGGTTCAGGTGATTCTTCTGCCTCAGCCTCCCTAGTAGTTGGGATCACAGGTGCCCACCACCTCGCCCGGCTAATTTTTGTATTTTTAGTAAAGATGGGGTTTCATAACTTTGGCCAGGCTAGTCTCAAACTCCTGACCTCAGGTGATCCGCCTGCCTCAGCCTCCCAAAGTGCTGGGATTGCAGGCGTGAGCCACTGTTTCCGGCCTCTTCTGTATATTTTTTATCTAAATAGGGTTTTCATTTTGCTATAAGTATTGTAATTATTTTGATTAATATGTTGATAACCTATGGTTTTGTATCTTCCTTTTTTCCACACAGTTAATCAACACTTCCCTACATCTTAAGTATTTGTCGTAAATGTTATTTTTTAACAACTATTCATATTTTATAGGATGGCTTACCTTAATATACTTAGCCATTCTCCTATTAATAGATATTTGGATAGTTTCTGTTTGTCTCCAGTTATGCAAATGCATGTGATTTTGATGTTGAGTTTTTTGGATACTGTTTATATGGTTTTGTTTCCCAATTAGATTCAGAAGTAATAATACATAGAAATGTGAACATTAGTACACTTTTTAACTTAAGTTTATTGAGTTTATACCAAAGTAAGTCAAGCACTGTGCTAGACACTGGGTTAAGGGTCTCTGGCGTTCACCCAAACCTCCCTGCAGAAATCTCTTACGCTGCCAACACTGTCTCTTGGGAGAGTTTGAATATGTTCATTGGAGGATAGTGACCCCAGACCAACAGTCCAGTTGCCCAGTCCTGGAATGTGAAGGCATTAAGCTGTTTAGTATGATAAGCTATAGACTAATGCCTGCCTCCAATTACAGCATTCAAATTCCAGGTCTGATTCCCATCCCCTTCCCAGGCCCTAGCTCATCAGACCATTATCTGACTAGCATTAAAAGGAGATGAAGCTGGCAGCCAGGATCAGGTTGGCTGAAAGCTCAAAAAAGCCTATGCCAGCGTGGCAACTGAATTTTATGTCATTGACTCAATCTCTAAGTCCTATCCAGGAGACATTTGTTTAGAAGCAAAAGTAAAACAGTCCTTTTTGAAAGTAACAGTTTTCATTTCTGTTCATCAGTATCTAACTAGAAGCCTCAGCCCTTTGATGTAACTGATTTTATAGCATCCTCCTCCCTAAAATCACAGACCTTTTCTCTTTCCTTGGAGAGAGGAGATGTAGCTCAGGGATTCCTAATGACCTTTCAAGGTTTAAAAAACTTGTATTTTGGCCGGGCGCGGTGGCTCACGTCTGTAATCCCAGCACTGTGAGAGGCTGAGGCGGGCGGATCACTTGAGGTCAGGAGTTCGAGACCAGCTTGGCTAACATGGTGAAACCCCATCTCTATTAAAAATGCAGAAAAATCAGCCAGGGGTGGTGGCACATGCCTGTAATTCTAGCAACTTGGGAGGCTGAGGCAGGAGAATCGCTGGAACCTGGGAGGCATAGGTTGCAGTGAGCCGAGATCCCGCCACTGCACTCCAGCCTGGGCAACAGAGCGAGACTCCAACTCAAAGAAAAAAAAAAAAAAACTTAGTGCGTGTGTGTGTGTGTGTGTGTGTGTGTGTGTGTGTGTGGCCTTGAACCCCTGCTCTCTGCCAGTAGTGGGGTTCAGCTTGTCTTAAAGATGTTTCCAGCTCATCTAACCTTAGGGGAGTAGCACTTAAGTTATTTCTCTGTTGCAGAGATGGCTGAGCGATTCCATCATGTCACTGTGCTCCAGATATACTTCTGTGACTGGCAGCAGGCCTGGGAGCGGAGGGAGAGCTTGTACGCTCACCATGCCCAGGTGGAGAAACTGGCCAGGAAGATGGCCCTGCGGCGCGCCTTTACTCACTGGAAACACTGTATCCTTTCAGATACTCAGGCTGTCCATTGCCTCAGCCAGGACAGCATGAGCTCAGCAGCATGTGAAACGAAAGTCATGAGATACATGGGAAACAATTGCCAAACGATTCAAAACAGCCTTATCTCTGTTGACAGTCTTAAAATTTTTGTTTAATTGGGATTGTGTATAAAAAGAGTGCTTATATATAGTTTAAAAATAATAAAATGAACAACTATATATCTTATCACCCAACTTTCAAAATAGAACCTTCCTAGCACACCTATTTGCTCCTCCCTGACTGCGTTCTTTTTCTTTTCCCTCAGAGGTAATCCCACTTTCCTGATTCACATTTTTTGGTGTTACAATTTAAGTGCTTTTCTCTACCCACTAGGTGGTGGAAATAGCCACCACTATCTTTTTCTTGGTGATACCATCACCGTGATCATAGTTTCCATTTATTGCGCTTTTACTACGTAGCAGACATTATGCATCATCCTCTTCATCCTCATAGCAACGCTGTGGAGTAGGTGCCACTATTACCATTTTACAGACGAGGAAAGAGATTCAGAGGAGCTGAGTGTATTCTAAAGTCACAGGTCATTGGCAGAGTCAAGATTTTCAAAACCTAGGCCTTTAACTCCTGTGTACATATTCTTTTTTTTTTTTTTTGAGATGGACTCTTGCTCTGTCACCCAGGCTGGAGTGCAGTGGTACAATCTCGGCTCACTGCAATCTCCGCCTCCCAGGTTCAAGCGATTCTCCTGCCTTAGCCTCACGAGTAGCTGGGATTACAGGCATGTGCCACCACGCCTGGCTAATTTTTGTATTTTTAGTAGAGACGGGGTTTCGCCATGTTGGCCAGGCTGGTCTCGAACTCTTGACTTCAGGTGATCCACCCACCTCAGCCTCCCGAAGTGCTGGGATTACAGGCATGAGCCAGCGTACCCAGCCTCTTTTTTTTTTTTGAGACAGAGTCTCGCTCTGTCACCCAGGCTGGATTGCAGTGGTGCCATCTCAGCTTACCGCAACCTCTGCCTCCCGGGTTCAAGTGATTGTCCTGTCTCAGCCTCCTGAGTAGCTGGGATTACAGGCGGCCACCACCATGCCCAGCTAATTTTTGTGCTTTTAGTAGACATGGGGTTTCTCCATGTTGGCCAGGCTGGTCTCGAACTCCTGACCCAAAGTGATCCACTTGCCTCGGCCTCTTAAAGTACTGGGATTACCGGCGTGAGCCACCGCGTCCAGCTCTATGTATAAACTCTTTTTTTTCCCTTTTTTTTTTTGAGATGGAGTTTCGCTCTTGTAGCCCAAGCTGGAGTGCAATGGCCCAATCTTGGCTCACCACAACCTCTGCCTTCCGGGTTCAAGCGATTCTCCGGCCTCAGCCCCACGAGTAGCTGGGATTACAGGCATGCACCACCATGTCCGGCTAATTTTTTTGTATTTTTAGTAGAGACAGGGTTTCTCCATGTTAGTCAGGCTGGTCTCAAACTCCTGACGACCTCAGGTGATCTGCCCGCCTCGGCCTTCCAAAGTGCTGTGATTACAGGCCTGAGCCACCGCACCCAGCCATATTCTTAATCACTACCCCTACCATACTGTGTGCCCAAGTGTGAGAATTTGGACTGCCTAGGATGTTCATCCACACATTTTATTTGTTCATCAAAGTCTTGCTTTGTATAAACTCCTGCTTAAATTCTGGGATATGAGGAAGCTCAGACTAATGATAGTTCATTGTCTAGTGGGGGAAATAGACATGAAAATATGTCTTTAAATATGGCATGATAATTCCTATCATAAAGATTTGTATGAAGTCCTGTGAGAGCGACTGTGGAGATTCAGCCAAGGAGGTAATGTTTGTGCAGAGTCTAAGTCATAGGAGATGAGAAGTTGGGAAGGTTGATGTCTTAGGGGAAGACTGCAGAAGGTTGGAAAAGGCATTTCAGTGAGGAAAAGCATTCAAGAATCCAGTGGGCTGTGGAGGTAGGGATGGTGGGAAGGTAGATGCAGGAACCTCTGGAGGTTTTTTAACTTTTAAAAATTTAGAGACAGGGTCACATGTTGCCCAGGCTGGAGTGCAGTGGCTTTCACAGGCGCAATGGTAGCTCACTACAGTCTTGAACTCCTGGGCTTAAGCAATCCTCCCCCCTCAGCCTACGAAGTAGGTGAAACTACAGGCACACACCATCACACCCGGCTTCAGGGGTTTTTAAGAAGAGAAGAGGCTGGGGGCAGTGGCTCACACCTGTAATCCAAGTGCTTTGGGAGGATCGCTTGAACTCAGGAGTTTGAGGCTACAGTGAACTATGATGGCACCCTTGCCCTACAGCCTGGGTGACAGAGTGAGACCCAGTCTCTTAAAAAAGAAAAGAAGTGCAGTCAGATTTGTGCTTTGGAAAGGATAATTCTGGATTAGCGGAGAGAGGCTAGCACTGGTGGGAGACCAGTTATGGGAGGAGGCTCACTTACCAGTCTACGTAAGGGACGAGTTGGATGAACTGCAGGGTGTTGGGGGTGGGGACAGAAGAGCAGAAGGGGATGGAGAGAGCCAAGAGATTTAGGAAGGGAACAGATGGACTTGGCGACCGATTAGATGAGAGTGGGAGGAGAAAAGGTTTGAAAATAACTCCAAGGTTTTTAGCTCAAATATCTAACTGGATTGTGATGCCAAAACAGAGACTATAGAAAAAGGAGCAGATTCTGCTTTAGATATGGTGATTTCTAAATGTTTACTGAAATTGATAGCAGTTTATCTCAGGTATTTTTTGCGTCTCATCTCATGGGCATTCAAGGGGAGGAATGCAAGACCAGATGTTTGATCAGTAACTGACAGGGTTTCCCTTTGCCCACTGCTTCCCTGGGTCATCAGGAGTAGACAGAGGTGGACCTCAGCCCACCTGGCACGTGTGTTATCCCCGATAGCCACGGCCCTTCAAGGTGGCTTGCTGAGAATGCACTGTGTAGGGGTCAGAACCTTGTTGGGACTGGAGGCCTTCACTTCCTGGCAGACATGCTGCTGTGTGCAGAAGAAGCTGCCCAGTTTGAGATGGCAGAAGAGCACCACAGGCACAGCCAGCTGGTAAGAGCCCTGCATCCTGGCACGGGTCCGCTTGGCAGCCTTGCTTGGGTATCCACTCTTGGGGGACCCTGACCCCTATCACCTTCATTAAATGCAGTCAGCTATGGGTGAGTTTTGGTCATGAAGCCCTCCTTTCATTGTGGGTGTCCTTCTTTTCATTTTGGATTACAGGTGCTAATGTTGTAGGGTCAGAGGGGTATGGAGCTGTAAAGGAACCTCAGAGATTATTTAGTCCTGAGCTTTTTTTACATGGTAAAACCCCTTTTGAGTGGCGGAAGCCTCACCTATAAAATAGGTCAAAGTAGCCATGCTGTGGTTGAAGCACGTCAGGGAGTCCGTCCCTGTTCTACCTGCTACTCTTCCCTTCCCTTGCTACACGAGGTGGTCTTCATATGTTTTCAGGAGCCTCTGGGGCTCCACAAAGCACAGTACGAAAACCCCTAATCCAGTCTGATATCTTCACTTCTGTCTCAGAAAATTGAAGCCTAAGGCATGGGGAAGTATGGGCAAATCAGCTTTGCTTAGCCAATTTGTGAGGCATTATTATTATTTTTTAGAGATGCGGTCTCACTATGTTGTCCAGGCTAGATTCAAACTTCTGGGCTCAAGCAATCCTCCCACCTCAGCCTCCTGAGTAGCTGGGACTATAGGCATGTGCCACCAGGCCCAGTGTTGAGGCATTAGTATTATTATCATTACTATTATTATTAGAGATAGGGTCTCCTCTGTCACCCAGGCTGGAGTGCAGTGTTAAAATCATAGCTTGCTGCAGCCTTGAACTCCTGGACTCAAGTGATCCTTCCACTTCAGCCTCCCAAGCAGCTGGGACCACAGGCACATGCCACCATGCCCAACTAATTTTTTAGATTTTTTTTTTTTTTGAGACAGAGTCTCGCTCTGTCACCCAGCCTGGAGTGCAGTGGTGCTATCTTGGCTCACTGCAAGCTCTGCCTCCGGGGTTCACGCCATTCTCCTGCCTCAGCCTCCCGAGTAGCTGGGACTACAGGTGCCTGCCACCACACCCAGCTAATTTTTTGTATGTTTAATAGAGACGGGGTTTCACCATGTTAGCCAAGATGGTCTCGATCTCCTGACCTCGTGATCCGCCCGCCTCGGCCTCCCAAAGTGCTGGGATTACAGGCGTGAGCCACCACGCCCGGCCTAATTTTTTAGTTTTTTTATACAGACGGAGTCTCCTTCTGTTGGCCAGGCTGGTCTTGAACTCCTGTGCTCAAGCAGTCCTCCTGCCTCAGCATCCTAAAGTGTTGGGATTACAGGTGTGAGCCACTGCACCTGGCCTTTTAGGCATTATTGATGGAGCTGGATCCAGGTCCATCCTGGCCCAACTCCAACCCTTCCTTTCACTAAAGATTCCTTCTTCCATTTTAGCAGCACTGCATTTATAATCATACAAATGTATGCACTGAGCCCACATGGTAAAAAAACAAAAACCACCACAGACAAAAAGTCTGTCTTCTCCTGAGAGGCAACAGTTGATGTTTACCTTGGTCTGTAGAATTGTCATGTGGGTCATGGGGTTCTTTCCTGGTGTGGGTGTGTTTGTTCTTGTGCAGTATAGATGGACAGCAGGGAGGGTTCAGCAAATATTTATTAAGTGCCTGCTGTGCAGGCTGGCTTGTGTTAGGCTCCCAGTTGAATCTCAAAGCAGAGAAACACTCAGGGAGATGGAACAGCTACAAGAAGCTGTGACCAAGCTTCTCCCCGCTGATTTGAGGCACTGTTTGCCTTCCTCTACTCTTAGTTTACAGACTCTACTGATCCCAGTCCTTGTAATCAGTTGTGTCCTTTCTTTGCACAGTATTTTTGCTTTAGAGCCCTAAAAGACAATGTGACCCACGCTCATCTCCAGCAAATAAGAAGGAATCTTGCTCACCAGCAGCATGGTGTCACGGTGAGGGTTGTCTTCTGTATCAAGGGACCTCTTCTGAAGGCCATTCTCTCTCGCTCTTTTTTTCAGTCTTGCCAAATTAAGCAGAACTCTTTTTAAAAAAACTTTTTGTGCTTCAAGATTTGTCCAGACTGTCAACTGTAAAACCTTAGTTTGCATTTTCTTTCTTTCTTTTCTTTTCTTTTTTTTTTTTTTTTTTTTGAGACAGTCTTTCTCTATTGCCCAGACTGTAATACAGTGGCACGATCTCAGCTCACTGCAACCTCCGCCTCCCGGGTTCAAGCAATTCTCCTGCCTCAGCCTCTTGAGTAGCTGGGATTACAGGCATGCGCCACTACACCTTCCTAATTTTTGTATTTGTAGTAGAGACGAGGTTTCACCATGTTGGCCAGGCTTGTCTCGAACTCCTGACTTCAGATGATCCACCCGCCTCAGCCTCCCAAAGTGCTGGGATTACAGGCGTGAGTCACCATGCTCGGCCTTTTTAGTTTGCATTTTCTTTGGTAATCCATACCTGCTGATAGAAAAACTTGTTTGATCCCATTTTTTTATCTATTTGCCAAGAAATGGATAGTTGACTCAAAGTTCAGGGACTGTGGATTTTAAACCTGACCTAGGGGATATAGTGATACAAATACTTTCTTTTTTTCTTTACTTATTTAGAGGCAGGGTCTTGTTCTGTCACCCAGGCTGTAGTGCAGTAGATCACTGCAGGTTCAAGTGATCCTCCTGCCTCAGCCTCCCAAGTAGTTGGGACTACAGCTGTAAGCCACCACACCCAGCTAATTTTTGTATTTTTTGTAGATGGGGTCCTACTATGTTGCCTAGGCTGATCTCAAACTCCTGGGCTCAAGTGATCTGCCCACCTTCGCCTCTCAAAGTGCTGGGATTACAGGTGTGAGCCACCGCACCTGGCCCAAATATACTTTTTTTTTTTTTGAGACAGGGTCTTGCTCTGTTGCCCAGGCTGGTGTGCAGCTGCAGTGGTGCGATCTCAACTCACTGCAACCTCCACCTCCCAAGTTCAAGCGATTCTCATGTCTCAGCCTCCCAAGTAGCTGGGATCACAGGTGTGCACCACCAAGCCCAGCTAATTTTTTTGTATTTTTAGTAGAGACGGGTTTTTCCCCATGTTGGTTGGGCTGGTCGCAAACTCCTGGCCTCAAGCAATCCACCTGCCTCGGCCTCCTAAAGTGCTGGGATTACAGACATGAGCCACCATGCCCGGCCCCAATAGGAGGCTTTGGTTGTGTTTCTATTGTAAGTCTATTCACTTCCATTGTAAGTCCATTATAAAACAATGGTTTGTTTACTTGATGCCAACATATATTGTCTCTACTTTCTTGGTGTAGGATTTTTTTCCCTGTTACTATTTTATGAAAAATGTTTAAACATACAGAAAAATAGGAAAAAAAAGTATAATAAGCCTCTATATAGTCACTACCTGGATATAGTAATTGTTAATATTTGCTATGTTTGCCTCATTGTTTTTTGCTGAATAATTTCAAAGTAAATTATAGACATCATGACACTTTGCACCTAAATATTTCAGCATGCGTCACTCAGAGACATTTTCTTATGTAACGACAATGTCATTATCATCCCTAAGAAAAGTAACAGTGATTCCCTAACATTAATATCTAGTCAACATTCAAATTTCCATAGTTGTCTTAAAAATGTCTTATTTGTAGCTGCTTTTTACAAACCAGAATGCAGTTAAGGATCACTAACTCCATTTGGTTCTTTTCTGATTGATTTTTAGCAGAAATGGATTTTGTTGCTATATTTCTTAAAGCTTTTAATCTAGAACTTTCCTTCCCCCAACAACACTTCTTTATTACATTTTATATATATATATATATATATATATATATATTTTTTTTTTTTTTTTTTTTTTTTTTTTTTTGAAACCGGGTCTCGCTCTCGCCCAGGCTGGAGTGCAGTAAGTAGCTTGATCTCGGCTCACTGCAACCTCCACCTTCCGTGTTCAAACTGTTCTCCTGCCTCAGCCTCCCAGGTAGCTGGGACTACAGACGCACACCATCACGCCTGGCCAATTTTTGTATTTTTAGTAGAGATGGGGTTTCACCGTGTTGGCCAGGCTGGTCTCAAACTCCTGACCTTTGGTGATCCTCCCACCTCGGCCTCCCAAAGTGTTGGGATTACAGGCGTGAGCCACGACACCCGGCCTATTATATTTTTTAATTGTGGTAAAAGATACATCACTTAAACTTTATCACCTTAACCATTTTTAAGTGTACAGTTCAGTGACATGTACATCCACATTGTGCAATCATCATCACTATTCATCTCTAGAACTTTTTCATCTTGCAAAATTGAAACTCTGTACCCATTTCCTCTTTCCTCAGCCCCTGGAAACCACCATTCTACTTTCTGTCTCTATAAATTAGATTATTCTAGAGACCTCATAGGTGGAATCATATAGTATTTGTCCTTTTGCAACTGGCTTATTTCACTTAGCATAATGTATACTTTTTAAAATGACTGCCTTTTTTTAAAAAAGGACAGGCCAGTTATTTTGTTTATACAATTTATTTATTATTATAATAATTATTGTTAGAGACAGGGTCTCACTCTGTCATCCAGGCTAGAGTGCAATGGTGTGATTGTAGCTCATCGTAGCCTCATCCTCCTGGGCTCAAGAGAATATCCTGCCTCAACCTCCTGAGGAGCTAGGACTACAGGTGCATACCACCATGCCTAGCCTTGTATAATTTTTTTTGTTGTTGTTTGTTTGTTTGTTTGTTTGAGATGGAGTTTCACTCTTGTTGCCCAGGCTGGAGTGCAATGGTGCCATCTCGGCTCACTGCAACCTCCACCTCCCGGGTTTAAGCGATTCTCCTGCCTCAGCCTCCCAAGTAGCTGGGTTTACAGGCATGTGCCATCACGCCCGGCTAATTTTGTATTTTTAGTAGAGACAGGGTTTCTCCCTGTTGGTCAGGCTGGTCTCAAACTCCCAAGAACTCAGGTGATCCACCCGCCTTGGCCTCCCAAAGTGCTGGGATTACAGGTGTGAGCTACTGCGCCCAGCCCAGTGTTTTATGTTATTGATTTATCTGATTGTTTCCTTTTGATATCATTTATATCATTTAATTTTCCTTTAGTCTACATGGTTCCTATAATCGTTACATCTGAGGGCTTGTTTAGATTGAAGTTAAACATTTATGCGAGACTACTTCATAGGTGGGAATATGCATTAAAATCAGTTTTAATTTCTAAAATGGCTTTCTAAAATGTCATTGTCTTCTGTGGGATTAGGAATAGCTTCTTCATCTAATTTCCATAGACTGGAAGAACCATCTTTTTGCCTTTTATGTTGGCCCAGAATAGCTCTATAGTTGAGCCCTCATTAATTTGTATGCCCACTGTATGTTGGCTGCTCCTAACTGAGGTCATTTCTGCTTTGGGGGAGCTCACAGTCTGTTGGAGTAAGGATTCACTGTTTTACCTTTCATCTCAGTACATTTCCATCTTCTTCCTCCCTTGCTTTAGCTGCTGCACAGGTTCTGGAACCTCTGGCGGTCTCAGATTGAGCAGAAAAAGGAAAGAGAGCTGCTCCCCTTACTGCATGCTGCCTGGGACCACTACAGGTAGGGACTCTGGTTTCATCCCTGGCTCTCAGGGACTTTGTGCCTCTGACTTACTGTTTTCCAGGAGTAATTGCTTGCCCTTCTATGCGTTAGTGTGGCAGATTCAGAAAGGCCTGCTGGGGTGGAGGTCCTGCTGTAAACCATTTGTTCCTGACTTTGGGTTTTTGGCTGATCAGATGGGAGATAGAATGAGCATATTTGCATTGGTTCTTGGCCACCATAGTCTGAAGTATGTGCCTGGTCGCTCACTGCCTTGGTCCTACAGGCATCAATATGTTCACAAGTTAGAATTCATGCATTGCTAGTGTTAAAGAGAAGGGTCAGGGACATTTGTGACTCAGTCTTAAAGTGTGCAGGGAATGTCCTCAATATTTTAGAGCTAGTCATTCAGTTAAATAAATAAAAACACTACATTTCTGTGAGGAAAACTCAGAATGTATAGGGTGGAAAGTATAAAGGGAAAAATAAAAGTTGCCTGGCCCCCTCCCTACAAGTAAGAGTAAGATCTTACTCCTCAGAAGGAAGCACTACGTATAAACTTTCTTGCTGCCAGAAATGTTCAATATGTCCTTCCTTTCTTTGCCCTCCTTTTTTCCTCTCCCCACAGTATAATCAACTTAATTTGCATAGTTTAGCTCCAATTTTGAAGCATTTTTTAATGAGTTAGTGAGAATCCCAATAATAAACTGACTCATTTAGAGTTATCAAGGCATATTATTCCAAACCCTGGTTTACAAAACCTAGTGTGAGAGGCAACATGTCGTGGACCCCCAGCGTTTGGCCATGAAACCAGAAAGTTCAGGATATCTAGGGGATTTCACACATATTTCCTAAATTCCAGAGCTACTGTGCTTTCGGTGGTCTAATTAGGTTTTACAAGAAAGTTGCAACATTTTAGGCAATCCACAGTCCAAAATCAGAGGTTGACAAATTTTATATTAGATATCAGGTTCTTATTGCCGTCTCTCCTAGAATGAAACTAGTAAGCCCATGGGGTGCCTTTAACTCACAGGAAGTAACTGTACCGCAATTTACCTGCCTTAAAACAAAGTTTTAAAAACTTGAAACCTGAAGGTGTTCTTCCTTTTGTTTCAGAATAGCACTGCTGTGCAAATGTATCGAATTGTGGCTACAGTATACTCAGAAGAGGCGGTACAAGCAGGTATGGAGTACTTTTTAGCAGATAGCTCTACTGGCTTACATTCTTGGACCCATTTGCTTTGGAAAGATTCTTGGAAAAGACCTATGCCAAGAAGTCTTATCGTTCTGCTTTGGAAGAGAGGGTGTTGAAAAAGCTCAAAGTCATTTCTTCCAGTTCCCACCTCTAATATCAGAAAGTCTGCATAACTCCCATTTCTTATCTGCTATGAAAATACAAGTTCTCTCTGAAAGTACTGAGCTCTTATCAGCCATTCACATCTTTACTCAAATTCATTTAGTCTCTGAGTTAGCCAGCCCTTCACCCAGTGGGACCTGCAAGAGGTACAGGGAGAGGTGCAGAGCATAAGTGCTGCATCCCAGTGCTAAACAGTGTGAGACACATGTCTCCCGGGGGTGGAGGATGTGAGGTCAGGACCACAAATAAGTAAAGGCAGATTGAGAAAGATAGATTCAATTCCATTTAAGAAATACTTATTGAGCAACTGCTGTTCTTCAGACACTGCACTAAGCACTGAGGATACAACTGTGATATAAAGTCAATAAAATTCCTGCTCTCCCAGGGCTCATACTTTAGCACCAGGGTGACAAATGAGTGTGACCTTACAAGCCCGTTCTACCAATTGGGAGTACCTGTCTGGAATGTTGAAGTGAGAAGGATTTCAAGGCCATATTTACACTCAGTGGGAAAGGGTTCAGTTGATGGCATCTGCCATTGTGAGAAGTGCCCCCTTTTTGGTCATCTCTGGCAGTGAAACAGAGGAAGACACAAACCAAACTCCTCCCAGTTATTTTCGTGCTGCCCACCCTACCCGTACCTCCATCTTCTGTTGGAGTCTAACAGGTGAATCTTTAGATTCACCTGTTAGCTAGTTCCCTATAGTTTGGGGATAGAATCCAAATTTTTAGCAAGGCCTACAAACTCCTTCGGGAGCTGGTCCCTGTCTGTTTCTCTCCCCTTTCCTGTTACCACTCTGTTCCTTCACAACTGCACTCTGACCAGTTAAGCTGCCAGTGGTTCCCTAAAGGTCCTCTGTGCCCTCCTGCTTCTCTTTGTACCTCCAGTTCTCTATTTCACACTCCCTTCCAGCTCAGATGTCACCTCCTCCCCCAGGCCAGTCCACCTCCACCCCTACCCCAGAGGCATAGCTTTATCAGAACATTCATCTTATAGTTGTTCACTGGCTTCTCTTTCCCCACAGGCTGTGAAGTCCTTTAGAGTACAGCCTGTCCCTTTTGCCTCCTTAGCCCACAGTGCTTGGCATGGGATATGTGCTAATATTTGGATGAATTAATGCACAGACCAACAAATGAACTGCTGTTGATTTCTTCAGAGTTTTTTTCCAAGGATGATCTAAGTCGATAGAGCTTGGATGCTACAGGGCATGGCCTCTTTTTGCGTCACTCTTGCCTCCTACACTTAAGAAATGCTAGAGTCACTGCATTCTTTGACATGCCTTTGGATTATGTTACTGGCTTTGAAAAGACATTGCCACTTGTTATCTTAAGTTCATGTAATACAAGTTCACCAGAATGCAGGAAAGCCTTTCAGAAAAAGACTATGAGTGTCAGAGTTGAAAGGTTGTATTTATTCAAGGTGGAGAGCAGAGGGTCTCTTTTATTTCCTTCCTGGAAAACGAGCACTCCCCTTGACACAGGGGCCCAACACTGGCGGACAGTCCAGGGTCAGCGTTTTCATCTCTCACACTGATCTAGCACGGCCTGCTTTCAAAGGTATAGCGGGTCTGAAAAATGGGAAGAGCACTGCTTAGTCATTCCTAAACCTTTAGCTAACAATCTGAATATCACCTCTTGGTATAGGTATCCCAGGAGCACATCAGATCTTTCTATTCTTAGACAAGATAAAAATATTATTTTTTGTGGGTTTCTTCCTTTTTAAAAAGTAACATACAGTCAGCCCTCTGTATCTGTGGGTTCCACATCCATAGATTCAACCAACCATGGATAAAAAATATTCAGAGGAAAAAAAGAGTAGTTGTGTCTGTACTGAACATATTCAGACCTTTTTTTCTTGTCATTAGCCCCTAAACAATATATAAACAATATAGCATAACAACTATGTACATAGCATTGACATTGTATTGGGTATTATGAGTAATCTAGAGATGCATACAGGAGGACTGTGTAGGTTATATGCAGATGCCAATTTATTTGTTTTGTTTTGTTTTTGAGACAGGTTTCACTTTGTCACCCAGGCTGGAGTACAGTGGCATGATCTTGGCTCACTGCAGCCTCACTCTCCCCAGGCTCAAGCGATTCTCCTGCCTCAGCCTCCCAAGTAGCTGGGACTACAGGTGCAAGCCACCACGCCCAGCTAATGTTTGTGTTTTGTTTTTTTTTTTGTAGAGGTGGGGTGCCACCATGTTACCCAGGCTGGTCTCAAACTCCCAAGCTCTGCCTGCCTCAGCATCCCAAAGTGCTGGGATTACAGGCATGAGCCACTGCACCCGGCCTGCTATACCATTTTATATAAGATACTTGAGTATCCATGGATTTTGGTATCTGAGAGGGGCCCTGGAACCAGTCCCCCACAAATACCAAAGGATGGCTCTTTGCAGAATGGCGAATGTTTGCTAACTGTTGAAGCTTGATGGTAGGGTCATGGGTATTCATTATACTGTCGGCTTCTACTTTTGTTTACATTTGAAAATGCCCATAATAAAAAATAGAAAAGCAATGTGTAGATATTATAGAAAATTTAGGAAGTATAAAAAGATATAAAGAAGAAAAAATAAAACCATTCATGACATTTGATGGGTAAGCCTGGTATCTCTCTTCCTCTGTTTGGGTAGGAGTGTATGTACCTATCTATTCACATACACATACATATGCATACTGATCCAATTATCTATTGCTATGTAAAAAATCACCCCAAACTCAGTGGTATAAGACAACAACCATTCTATTATGCTTTATGGATTATCAAAGATTGAGACAGGACTTAATGGGAATGGTTGGTTTCTGCTCCAAGATCAGCCTCAACTGAAAAGATTCTAATGGCAAGGGGTTAGAATTATCTAGACGTTTTCTTCACACACATCTAGATCCTGGATTAGAATGACTCAAAGACTGGGCTCAACTGGGAATGTTAACCAAAGAACCTGTGTATGACCTCTCTGTGAGGCTTGGGCTTCCTTACAGCATGGTGGCCTTGGGGTAGTCAGCTATCAGAGCTTCAAAATGAGTGTTCCAGTGAACAA